>NC_000012.12:116248006-116399521 GCF_000001405.40 Homo sapiens | reverse complement strand
GAAGCTCAACTGAGAAAAGATCTGCAGCTGCAGAAGGAGAGTGGCAGAGATGCCCGTTAGAGTCTGGCCTTAGAGGGAACAGATAAAAGCTATATATATAAATTTATTTATTTATTTATTTTTAACCAAGAATATAACTCCTACTCTCATTCTACTCCTTACAAGAAGTTAATTAACAGCCTAGCTATAAGGACATCTTTGTGAAATAAGTAACTGACCACTAAGCAAACCCAGCAGAGTATTTAGTGACCACACACAACAAGGAATATGGATTTTACAGAATAAGTCCAGGAAAGTCACTAAATAAACAAATAGCAACAACAAACAACTAAAACAAAAGCCCCGGGGAGAAGGGAAATTTGATTTTCAGTGTTGCCACATTATATTACTAAAAATGTCCAGTTTTCAATTTTAAAAATGAAACATGAAAAAAATATATGAATATATGATCCATACACAGGAACCTGTCCTTTAGGAAGCCACAATGTTGAACTTACTAGACAAAGACTTTAAATCAGCTCTTTTAAATATGTTCAAAAATTAAAGGGATCTATGTCTAAAGAACTAAAGAAACTATGAGAATAATGTGTCACTAAAGATATCAATAAAGAAATGGAAATTATAGAAGAGAACCAAATACGAATTTTGGAGTCAAAAAGTACAATAACTGGAATTAAAAAAAAATATGCTAGAAGGGTTCAACAGCAGATTTAAGCTGGCAGAAAGAATTAGCAAACCTTTAAACAGGTTAATGGAGAGCATTCATTTGGAACAAGAGAAAGAAAAAAGAATGGAGAAAAATGAATGGAACCTCAGGGATCTGTAGGATACCATCAAGAATACAAACATACACATAAAAGGAATCCCAAAAGGAAATGAGAGGAAGACAGGGACAGAAGAAATATTTGAAGAATTGTGGTTGAAAATATCCCAGATTTGATGGAAAAGATTAATCTCTACATCCAAGAAGCTCAATGAATGCCACATAGGATAAACTCCTACCTCACTCCTAGATGTGAGATCCACATCTAGGTGTTATAGTCAAAGTGCTAATAGCAAAAGACCAAGAAAGAATCTTGAAAGCAAAGAAAAGCCACTCATTAGTTTAATAGGATTAGCACCAGATTGCTCATCAGAAACCACAGTGTTCCAAAAGCAATGGGATGATATAGTCAAAGAGCTGAAAGAAGATGATTGCCAACCAAGAATTTTATGTTTAGCAAAACCATACTTCAGAAATCAAGAAATCAAGACATGCACAGATAAACACAAAATAAGAGAATTTATTGCCAGGAGACCTGCCCTATAAGAAATACTAAAGGGAGTGCTTCAGGCGAAATGAAAGGACACCAGTCAGTAACTTGAATATACACAAAGAAATTATGAGCACAAGTAAAGGTAACAACATCGATAAGTATAAAGTATTAATTTTTGTTCATTCTTTCTGATTTAAAAGACAACTGCTTAAAGGAAAAACCACAAACTTGTGTTGATGGGCTTATAATATGAAAGATGTAATCTTTATGACAACCATAACACAAAAAAGAGGGTAGGGAATAAAGCTATATTGAAGTAAAGTTTTTGCATACTGTTGAAATTAAGTTGGTATTAATCTAAACTAGATTGTTTTAGACTAAGATGTTACTTGTAATTTCCAAGGCAACCACTAAGAAAATAAATCCAAATGTACATATAGCAAAAGAAACAACAAGGGGATTATAATGGTACACTAGGAAATATCTATTGAATACAAAGGGAGGCCATGAGGAAGAAAAGAGGTTTTTTAAAAAAAGATACAGTTTGGGCACGTTGGCTCACACCTGTAATCCCAGCACTTTGGGAGGCTGAGGCGGGTGTATCACCTGAGGTCAGGAGTTCCAGACCAGCCTGACCGACATGGTGAAACTCCATCTTTACTAAAAGTACAAAAATCAGCCAGACATGGTGGCACGCCCCTGTAATCCCAGGTACTCAGGAGGCTGAGGTGGGAGAATTGCTTGACCCCAAGAGGCAGGGGCTGCAGTGAGCCAAGATCATGCCATTGCACTCTAGCCTGGGTGACAGAGTGAGACCCTGTCTTAAAAAAAAAAGAAACACAGACATGTAGAAAACAAGTAGAAAAATTAGATACTTGGCCGGGTGTGGTGACTCATGCCTGTAATCCCAGCACTTCGGGAAGCTGAGATGAGTGAATTGCTTGAGCCAGCCTGAGCAACATGGTGAAACCCCATCTCTACAGATATTAGCCAGGCATGGTGGCGTACACCTATTGTAGTCCCAGCTACTCAGGAGGCTGAGGAGGAAAGATCACTTGAGCCTGGGAAGTGGAAGCTATAGTGAGCCATGATTATGCCACTGCACTCCAGCCTGAGTGACAGAATGAGATCCTGTCTCTCAAAAAAAAAAAAAAAAAAAAAAAAAAAGAAGAAAGAAAAATTAGATACTTTATCAGTAATTACATTACCTCCCCAAATCAGTGACTACATTAAATATAAGTGGACTAAATACTCCAATAAAATGCAGAAATACGTAGGTGTATACATATACACACTTACAACTCAATAATAAAAAGAAAAATAACCCAATTTTTAAATGGGCAAAAATTTGAATACATATTTTTCCAAAGAAAATACAAAATGACCGATAAGCACATGAAAAGATGCTCAACATCATTCACCATCAGAAGAATGAAGCTCAAAACCTCAGTTAGATACCACTTCACACCCACTAGAAGGGCTAAAATCAGAAAGATGGACAATAATAAGTGTTGGTAAGGATGGGAAAACATTGGAACCCTTATACATAGCTGCTGGGAAAGTAGAATGCGGCAGCTACTTTGGAAAACAGTTTAGCATTTCCTCCAAAAATTAGACATACACCTGAGTACAGTGGCTGATGCCTCTAATTTCAGCAGTTTGGGAGGCTGAGGCAGGCAGATTGCTTGAGCCCAGGAGTTCAAGACAATCTTGGCAACATGGCAAAACCTTATCTCTACAAAAAATACAAAATACTAGCTAGGTGTGGTGCTGCATGCCTGTAGTCTCAGCTACTTGGGAGGCTGATATGGGAGGATCACCTGGGCCCTGGGAGGTCGAGGCTGCAGTGAGCCATAATTGTGCCACTGCACTCCAGCCTGGGCAACAGAGCAAGACACTGTCTCAAACAAAACAAAACAAACAAACAAAAAATATAGACACACAGTTAACATATGACCCAGCAATGTTACTTCTAATTATATACCCAAAAGAATTGAAACATTTGTTCATACAAAAACTTGTACATGAATGTTTTTGTTTTTTTTGTTTAGTTTTGTTTTGTTTGTTGGTTTTTTGAGATGGAGTCTCTCTCTGTTGCCCAGGCTGGAGTGCAGTGGCACGATCTCGGCTCATTGCAACCTCTGCCTCCCGGGTTCAAGCGATTCTTCTACCTTAGCCTCCTGAGTAGCTGGGATTACAGGTGCGTGCCGCCACGTCTGGCTAATTTTTGTATTTTTAGTAGAGACGGGGTTTCATCATATTGGCCAGGCTGGTCTCGAACTCCTGACCTCATGATCTGCCCTCCTTGACCTCCCAAAGTGCTAGGATTATGGGTGTGAGCCACTGCGCCCAGCCCATGAATGGTCTTATAAGCATTTTTCATCATAGCCAAAAAAGTGGAAACAACCTAAATGTCCATCAATTGAATGAATAATCAAAATTTGGCCCATCTCTACAATGAAATGTCATTTGGCCACAAAAAGGAATAAAATACTGATACATGCTACCACATGGATGAATCTTGAAAGCATTAGGCCACATTTTAAAAACTAGGCCCCCAAAGATCATATGTTATATGATTTCATTTATATGAAATCTCCAGAATTTGCAAATCCAGAGGCAGAAAGTAGATTTGTGGTTGCCAGAGGCTAGGGGGAGGAGCAATGGCTAATAGGTATGGGCTTTTTTGGAGGAGTGATGAAAATGTTTTGGTGGTTGCACAACTCTGTGAAAATAGTAAAAACTGCTGAATTGTATACTTTCAAAGGATGGATTTTATGATACATGAATTCTGTCACTATAAAGCTATTCATTTTAAAAATACTAAATATAATCATTCTATTTATAACAATTTTTTTAAAGGACACGCAAACTATACATTATTTAAAGAGACATATATATGTAGTGAAAGTATAATTACAAGCATGAGAATGAACGACCAAGTTCAGGCTTGTGGTTATCTCTAAGGAGAGAAGGAAGAAAAGAAACATGTCTGTAATGTTTTATATCTTTTTTTTTCTAAGACAGAGATTAAAGAAATAATGGGAAAATGTTAGCATCTGTTAAATGTGGGTTCTGAGTAAATGGATGTCTATAGTTTCTTATGCTTGAAATCATTAATGGTTATAAGTTTTGAGGAGCATCAACCTGAATATTCCTTAGCTTAGGTGGGTTGAAGGGTGGGCTCCTAAGATATGTCCACAGGGGCTGGGCGCTGAGGCTCACGCCTGTAATCCCAGCACTTTGGGAGGCCGAGACGGGCGGATCACCTGAGGTCGGGAGTTTGAAACCAGCCTGGCCAACATAGTGAAACCCCATCTCTACTAAAAATACAAACATTAGCAGAGCGTGGTGGCACACTCCTGTAGTCCCAGCTACTAGGAAGGCTGAGGTAGGAGAATTGCTTGAACCTGGGAGGTGGAGGTTGCCGTGAGCCGTGAGCCAAGGTCACGCCACTGCAGTGGCAGTGCCTCAGGGACAGAGCGAGACTCCATCTCAAAAAAAAAAAAAAAAAGCCTTTGGAAGCACTTTTTTCCAATATGACCTTGAAATCATAATTAAATGAATGATCTCAAGGTGAGATTATCTTGGATTAGGGAGGGTCCTAAATTCAATGACAAGTGTCTCTTTCCTTTTTTTTTTTTTTTTTGTGCTTTTGAGGGTGCTAAATGAGATCTTTCCTTCTCGCTCGCTCTTTCTTATTTTTCGTTGTCTTCTTTTCTTTTTGACCTTTCAGATGGGGTCTTACTGTATTGCCCAGGCTCGTCTCAAACTCCTAGCCTCAAGTGCTCCTCCCAACTCAGCCTCTGCAGTAGCTGGGATTACAGGGCATGGGCCACTGTGCCTGGCTCAACAAATATCCTTCCAAGAGAAGACGAAGAGAGAAGACAATTACAAAAGGCCATGTGAAGACAGAAGCAGAGATGGGAGGGAGGCGGTCACAAGCCAAAGAATGCCCGCAGCCACCAGGAGCTGAAAGAGAAGGAAAGCTTCTCTCCCAGAGCCTCCAGAGGCAGTGTGGCCCTGCCAACACCTTGATCTCAGATTTCTGGCCTCCAGAATCGTGAGAGAAAAAATTTCTGTTGTTTTAATCTCCAAGCTTGTGACAATTTGTTACAGCAGCCACAGGAAACAAGCACACCGCCTTTCTGTTTTTTCCTATTCACCTCACTCCTTCCTTCTGCCAGGCACTGCCTGACCATCCCGGAAGTCCACAGCCCCACAACTTTCTTCTTGCTCAACAGAATCATTTTCCCCGCTGCAAGGAGAAAGCAGGGGTGCCCTTGGTGGCTGTATCTAGTGGAGGCCACATCAGGGGACCATTTTCACTTTTTTTTTTTTTTTTTTTTTTTGAGACAGTCTTGCTGTGTCGCTCAGGCTGTTGTGCAGTGGCACGACCTCGGCTTACTGCAACCTCCATCTCCAGGGATCAAGCAATTCTTGTGCCTCAGCCTCCTGAGTAGCTGGGATTGCAGGCATGCACCACCACACCCAGCTAATTTTTGTATTTTTAGTAGAGATGGGGTGTCACCATGTTGGCCAGTCCGGTCTCAAACTCCTGGGCTGGAGTGATCTGCCTGCCTCAGCCTCCCAAAGTGCTGGGATTACAGGCATGAGCCACCGCCCCTGGCCCCATTTTCACAATTTTTGCTTATGGATTTAGGAATCTCATGGCTAATCCCACGAGGACCCCTTAGCTCTTCTCCGGTTGCTTACTTACCTCCTCCTGCCCCTGCCAGTGCGCTCAGCCCCCATCTGCCGGGCTGCTTCCTGGCCGTGTTTCCCCAGTCTCTCGCCCACCCAGACACGGGCAGCAGGGTTCTGCTTCCACCTGCCAGCAGTATGAATAATGCATTATACATAAAACAATGCACAAATGCAATGAGAGAAAAAGAACATTCTCAGTACTTTTGCATATATCGTCTTCACAAAATAGTTACCGTTACTATTCTTGTCTTCAGATGAGGAAACTGATGCTCAGAGAAGCTAAATAACTTGCCCAAGGTCATACAGCCAGATGAGCTGGGTTTTGAACTGAGACCTGCTTAATCCCAGACATGCTGGGTTAGAATCTAGACTCAGCCACTTGCTAACTGTGTGAAACTGAACTTGTTACTTTTTTAAACAATTTTTTAAATTTTAATTTTATTTCTTTCTTTATTTTTTAGAGACAGGGTCTAGCTCTGTCACACAGGCTAGGGTGCAGTGATACAATCATAGCTCACAGCAGCCTCAAACTCCTGAGCTCAAGGGATCCTCCTGCCTCAACCTCCCAAGTTAGCTGGGACTACTGAACTTGTTTCTTCTTTTTTTTGAAACAGAGTCTTGCTCTCTTACCCAGGCTGGAGTGCAGTGGCTGGATCTCGGCTCACTGCAGTCTCCACCTCCTGGGTTCAAGCAATTCTCCTGCCTCAGCCTCTCTAGTAGCTGTGACTACAGGCATGCACCACCATGTCCAGCTAATTTTTGTATTTTTAGTAGAGACAGGGTTTCACCGTGTTGACCAGGCTGGTCTCAAACTCCTGACCTCAAGTGATCCACCCGCCTCGGCCTCCTAAAGTGCTGGGATTACAGGCATGAGCCACCATGCCCGGCCCTGAATTTGTTTCTTACCCTCTCTTCACCTCCATTTCTGAATCTATAAAAGAGAAATAATAAAATGCCAGTCTCAGAAGGTTGTTGTTTAAGGATTCCATGGGGTTCCTGTGTAAAGCCATCGCTTGGCACATAGTAAGTGCTCAATAAATGACAGCCAGTATTGTCAATGTCAGTGCTGGTTATAGCAAATTTGTATTCAGAGTACATCACGCTCAGCTCAGCACTCCACCAGGAGAGGGTTTTGTTTGTTTGGTTAGTTTTCTAAAACAATTGCTCATTTTTATTTTATTTTGAGCCAGCGTTCTCTCTCTGAGTGGACCTAGACGTGCATTCCGGGGCTGTTTCTATTTGCAGTCTGAAGTCAGGCCTGGGGCTTGTGGCTGTTTTTGCCATCTGGTCTGGGGCGAAAGGGCAAATCTGCAAAGTCTCTCTGTTGTGGCCAGCGAGGGAGTCCCATCCCCATGAAGTCTGTCTTTTGCAGCAAGCTTGATTCTTTGAAAAGTTGAAGATCTCCAGGCTCTGAAGGCTCAGTCAAAGGGAAAATGCCTTCTCCTCTGGCTTATTTGCTCAGGGTTTAAAAGGTATTTCTGGGCTTTGGCTAAGAGGAAATTTAGCTTTCGAGCAAATCCTTGTGCATTGGTTTTCTGTAAACATCTAAATGTGGTGTGAGCAGCTCGGAGCCCACTCTGCCTGGCTTTTCCCAGATTTTACAGCCAATTGGGATGATGTGAAGTCAGCGTGATATTTGTAGAGTGGCATCTGTTTGACAGGCAGGTTCCTGATGTTACTGCTAGGGTTGTCCCCCCAGATCCATACTGGAGATATGCAAAGCGAGCTGGAGTGAGTTGGGAGAGGATGAAGGACTGAGTCACGTGAATAAGACCTTCTTCCCATCATCATCCAGGAAGTGTCCTTGTGGGCAAAGGACCTCTGAGATGAGAGGTTCATTCAGTCACTTCCACAAATATTTACTGAGGACCTATGGTGTGCCAGGCCCTGCACCCAAAGCAAGGGAATAGACCTTCATGAAGCTTGAGTTCTGGTGGAGGCAAGCCCTTTCCCAAGGCAACTCGAGACCAAAATATGATTATGTAAAAAAAAAAACCACTTCTTATAGCTGCCACCTGTAGTCCCAGCTACTCAGGAGGCTAAGGTGGGAGGATTACTTGAGCCCGGGAGTTCAAGTCAGCAGTGAGCTAGGATTGCACCAATACACTTCTTAAAACATCTGTATGAGTAAAGGTAGCTAACTGCTGTAAAAACAACCCCATCTCAGTGAGTACCCCAGTAAAGGTTGAGGTCCAAACCACAGTCCAATACAGCTCAATTGGGAGGTTGGAAAGAGCTTTGCTCCATGCAGTCACTCAGGGATCCAGGCATCCTCCATTTGATAGTTTCATTGTCCTTCAAGATCTCAGGATCTTCCAAGGGACTCTCTGCTGTGTCTGGCCAGCAGATATAGGATCACAGGATTTTGTTTTTTTTAAGGCTCAACCTGGAAGTGACCTTCATCACTTACTCCCACATTCCATTAGTCAGCGCTCAGCAATTGCCGGGGCCCCTTTGTGTGTCTCAGAGCCTGAATATAAGATTTGGTGAACCCACAGCATTGTCTCTGTCACAGGATCTATTGCCTGGGACCATGTGTGCACCCTGGAGAGAGTGACCATGGTGCTCATGGTAAGTGTGGCTAACAAAAATGGCACACCCACATCCCAAGTGCCAGCTCTCTGCTCTCTCTGCTCACAGTGAAGACAGAGTGTCCTCTGAGCCCAGACTCCTGTCCCTGCACCCAGCTCTGCTCTGCAGTAATTGAGACTCCTTGGGCAACTTGTCTCCCTTCTCCAAATCTCAGTTTGCTCAGCTGGAAAATAGAGATGCTAATCACAGCACTCACGTCACAGGTGTTTTGTGTGACAAGTGAGTAAGATGGGAGAGAAGAAGCAAGTTCTAAGTCCAATGCCTGCCTTGTGATCAATACCTTATAAATATGGGTCATGATGCAATATTTTCAAGTCCAGACTCAGGGCTGGCTTCCCTCTGCCACTTGTGCACTGTTTAATGACTTGTGGCCAGGTCACCTTGACCTGCCCTAGCTTCAATCTCTGAATCTCTGAAATAAAGTACTCATTATCCCTGCCCTGCAGAGCAGTGTTAGGATCAAAGACAATAAATAAAGCAGGTAAAAGGCTTACCACGCAGCTTGACACGTAATACGTGCTCAATCAGGATTAGTTATTATTATTATTATATAAGCACTTTTACATATTACCTCATTTAATTCTCACATCTACTCTCTGAGACAGAAAACAACAGGTAGGGTTGCCCATTTGTGTATGTTCCAGAAACAATCACGTATTCTGGGAATGAATGAATGCAGGGAGGAATGAATGAATCACCACGATAATTTGTGTCTTCTGCGACAGTGGGTGCATAGTCTCTATTTCTCGGAGCAATGGTGATGTCTGCCAAAATAAATTAACTTTCCCACATCAATGACTCATTTGGCAGGAATAACAGCCTTGCAAACTGAATAGAGAATGAAGAAGGAGGACGCCTCAGGCAGGGGGAGAGAGAGGAGTTTGTAATGACTCAAGATACAAGAACCAGCTTCTTATTCATTCTCTTTCTCTCCCTAACCAAAAATGTAGGCCCTTATATACATATACAGTTTTTGAGACAGGGGCTCGCTGTCACCCAGGCTGGAGTGCAGTGGCACCATCTTGGCTTACTGCAACCTCCGCCTCCCAGGCTTAAGTGATCCTCCCACCTCAGCCTCCCCAGTAGCTGGGACTATAGACGTGAGCCACTGAGCCCAGCCAGCCTGATATACATATTTAACCTTTTAAACTGGAGAAGTGGAAGTTCCACGCTATTAAGTGGCTTTGGATATCAGAACCATAAAAAGAAGCTTACAGACAGCATCATGTAACCTTTGCTGGGTGGACAGGGGTCCAGGACAGGACAGGTGTCCAGGACATCATGTGACCTTTGCTGGGTGGACAGGGGGTCCAGGACAGGACATGGGTCCAGGACAGGACATGGGTCCAGGACAGGACAGGGGTCCAGGACATCATGTGACCTTTGCTAGGTGGACAGGGGTTCAGCGCTCACACCATGTGTGGCAGGGCCAGCGCTGGGCCCCAGGACACCTGACTTCCATCCAGTGCTCCTTCCTTATCCCACTGCTTCTGGATCGATGCAGGATCTTCTCAGACACTTCCGCCACCTGGCCATTCTCACACTCTGCTCAAGACTCCTTCCATGGCCGGGGAAACTTCAGGACAGAGCAAAGAAAGATCAAAGACTGAGACTGCAGATCCTCACGAGGAAGAATAAAGGAGTTGGGAGGAGATGGCTAAGATGGACTTAATTACCTACTTCTCATCTGCATGAGGGTTGTATGAGGAGGCAAGTTATCTGCCCTCTTAAACACTGCACAAATGATATTTACCAATTGATGAGTTTTAGGCTCTTCTGACGTTTGCTGAGTTCATGATTCATTCACAAGAGGGACTTTGAATCTACTTAAAAATACTCGTGGAGCTGAAAGAAGCAACAACTTAACGCTAGGTCCACACAGTTCAGGAAGAACCGCAGCTCAGGTGTGGGATGAATAAGGTTAATTTAACACCACACTTCATCCTTTTGAAAAGAGTGGCTCCATTTGTGTGTGTGTGTGTGTGTGTGTGTGTGTGTGTGTGGCGGGAGGGTGGAGGGTAGGAATGGCGTTTCATTCTTGGGATAAATGAAAGATTAATTCTAAAGTCTTATTTAAATAACTCTCGAAGAGGCGCTAGAGATGAAATTACTCTTAATTGGCCAACTTAGCACTAGCTCTTGAATGCTCAAGTGAGTGGAATGAGATTTCAGTCTGTTTAAAACTTTAACTTGTCATCTTCTTGTCTCACTCCCTCCTTTCCAGGCCAAGGACTTACTACTCTTCTATTGGAACCAACTCCAACAACCTTCTGCTTCTACTAATCAGACACAAGGCAGCATCTGGGGTGGGAGTAGGTTGGAAAGGAGTGAGCTTCTGTTTTATTTTTCCTTCTTCAGCAATCGCGAAGGTATATCCACGCAGTAGAGATGACATGACCTGGAATCGAATTCTGGCTCCACCACTGCCTAGCCATTGATCTCGGCCAAATCACTTAGCATTCCTAAGCCTCAGTCGCTTCTGTGTTAAAAGGGCTTATAATACCTACCACAAATGTTGTGATCAGTGGTGCTGGTCAATGTTTAATAACTAGTTCTCTGGAGGAAAACCCTGGTATATAGCATTTGCCCATTTCTATGGTGTAAATACTCCCACCAAAGTCAATCTCAAACTCCCAAGGGGAGGTCACTGAACACAGAGTTGGGAAGACAGGCACAGGAGCAGACACTGTAGAGAATTTTCACCAAACAGATATCATAATCTTAAGAGCATAGGTAATGGGAGAACATAGTAAATTAAGAAGTGAGGAGTTTTAGTGTTATTACTTTTATCTTTCAATTCAATGTATCTATTTAATTGTAAGTTTATATAATTTTTTATTTTTTTTCGAGACAGTCTCACTCTGTTGTCCAGGCTGGAGTGCAGTGGCACCATTTTGCTCACTGCAACCTCTGTCTCCCAGGTTCAAGCGATTCTCCTGCCTCAGCCTCCCGAGTAGCTGGGATTACAGACACACACCACCACACCCAGCTAATTTTTGTATTTTTTGTATTGACGGAGTTTCATCATGTTGGCCAGGCTGATCTCCAACTCCTGGCCTCCAGTGATCCGCCCACCTCGGCCTCCCAAAGTGCTGGGATTACAGGCGTGAGTCACCACGCCCAGCCCATACAATTTCTTTTCTTTTCTTTTCTTTTCCTCTTTTTTGAGACAGGGTCTTGCTCTGTCACCCAGGCTGGAGTGCAGTGGTGTGATCATGGCTCACTGCAACCTCAACTTCCCAGGCTGAAGTGATCCTCCCACCTCATGAGGAGCTGGAATTACAGGTGCATGCTACCACGCCTGGCTATCTTTTTAATTCTTTTGTAGAGACAAGGTCTCCCTATGTTACCCAGGCTGGTCTTGAACTCCTAGGCTGACGTGATCCTCCCAGCTTGGCCTCCCAAAGTGCTGGGATTACAGGAGTGAGCCACCACGCCCCACCAGTTCATATAATTTCTTTAAAATAATAGTTGTGCCTTCCTGTTCTCAAAAATCCAATACCCTAGGAGACATAGGGAGCCAGGTTTAGCGGTAGAGGGGATGAATTTGCAGGTAACTAAAGAACAGTATAGTTGATTGGGAGGTTCAGGGCCTGCAGTGTGCAGTGGAACTGACCTGTACTCGCCCTGCTTCCCCAAACGGGTGACCTTGGTCAAGCACTCCCATTTCTCTGCTTCAGTGTGCTCATTCATAAAATAATCATCTGCTCGTCGGGTTAATGCCAGTTCTAAATGAGATGATCTGGGGAAAACTTTTAGCACAGAGCCTGGCATATAGTAACAGCTCAATAAATGGTGGCAGCCCTCATTAGTGATGTGATAATTGTGCTAATGGGGAAGCGTACACATTGCATCTGCATTGGGAGCCTGGCCAAGGTACAGATTAAGGTGCTGGGTTCAGGCCAAGCTCGAGGAAGCAAACGAGGGCTGCAGTTTACGCCGGAAAATTAGGTGGGTGTTGACTTGGGCAGATGGCAGCCCAGCCCTTAAAAAAAAAAAAAAAAGTCCGGAAATAGGAACATTGGATGCATGCCTCTCTCTCTAGGGTGGGAACAAGGGACAGGAGAGCAAATCAATGGGCTTAAAAAGTCAAAGCAGGTCAAGTGGGCCGGGTGTGGTGGCTCATGCCTGTAATCCCAGCTCCTTGGGAGGCCAAGGTGAGCGAATCACCTGAGGTCAGGAGTTCAAGACCAGCCTGGCCAATATGGTGAAACCCCGTCTCCACTAAACATACAAAAATTAGCCAGGCGTGGTGGCACATGCCTGTAACCGCACCTACTTGGGAGGCTGAGGAAAGAGAATCACCTGAACCCGGGAGGCGGAGGCTTCAGTGAGCCAAGATTGTGCCACTGCGCTCCAACCTGGGCAATAGAGTGAGACTCCATCTCAAAAAATAAAATAAGGCTGGGTGCCATGGTTCATGCCTGTAATCCCAACGCTTGGGGAGGCTGAGGCGGGCAGATCACCTGAGGCCAGGAGTTCAAGACCAGCGTGGCCAACATGGTGAAATCCCATCTCTACTAAAAATACAAAAATTAGATGGGCATGGTGGCATGTACATGTAATCTCAGCTACTCAGGAGACTGAGGCACAAGAATCATTTGAACCCTGGAGGCGGAGTTTTCAGGGAGCTGAGATCCGGCCACTGCACTCCAGCCTGGGCAACAGATTGAGGCTCTGTCTCAATAAAATAAAATAAAATAAAATGAATAAAATAAAATAAAATAAACCCAGGTCAACTGCTCCAAGGAACAGTCTGCCTTCACCTGTCAGCATTTGTGGAGGCTAGTGAAGCACATGCTGTTGTTGGCGTGGAGAATCATGAACTGATGGTGGTGGCTGTATGAACCGCTTCGTGGGCAGTGGATCCGACCAGAGCTGAACTTTAGAAAAGATCTGTTGCTTGGATAAGGAACAGATTCGGTTGCTCAACCCAACCTGCCCTTATCGCCAATGACCCAGCTCAACGTTCTCTCTGGTTTAGAGGAAAACAAACAGGACGTTAGGAAGTAACCAGATCAGATGGTCAGAGGTGGATCTAGGGGGAGCCGGGACACTCTCTAACGCTCCTCCAGCAGGAGATGTCCTGGGCGGTGCCTAGAGGAATGTGATGGCTTCACACATGTGGAAGAGCCTAGCGAGTGAGGCTCCCTGCAGCTATGGATGTCCACTGCAGCCTCATGTCCTGGCCTCGCCCTCCCAGTATGAGCTTGGAATTTTCTTAAACAAGAAATTTCCAGTGTTGGCCAGGCGCAGTCCCAGCACCTTTGGAGGCTGAGGCGGGTGGGTCACCTGAGGTCAGGAGTTCGAGACCAGCCTGGCTAACATGGTGAAATTCTGTCTGTACTAAAAAATACAAAAATTAGCTGGGCCTGGTGGCGTGTGCCTGTAGTTCCAGCTACTTAGGAGGCGGAAGCAGGAGAATCGCTTGAACCTGGGAGGCAGACATTGCAGTGAGCCAAGATCACGCCACCGCACTCCAGCCTGGGCAACAGAGTGCCTCAAAAAAAAAAAAAAAAAAAAAAAGAAAAAGAAAAAGAAAAGAAAGAAATTACCAGTGTTGTTAAGTCTCATACACCGAACTGGCTACTCAACTTGGCTGGCCACCTTTGATCAGCTCCCAGATGCAGCCATTACTCACTTTGCAACCCACGAACTTCCTCTTTCTAAGCTGCCAAAAAAAAAAAAAAGATAATAATAAGCTAACATTACTGAGTGCCGGGTACTTTATGTGGACACTCTTCATTTAATCCCACAACCACCTATGAGGTCAGTTTTATTCTATAATCCCCATTTTATAGATGAGAAAACTGAGCTCAAGTAAAAGAATAGACCCATACATGGTCACCCAGCTATTAAGTGACTGAAGTCAGTATTCAAGCCCAGGTCTGTGTGACTCTGCACCTACCAGCTGCCAATGGACCCCAAATACCCTCTGTTCCTCTGATAAATTACCCCTGGGGTGGGGCCAGGAATAGGGCCAGGCAAACCAGGTGCAATTTTTAAGGAGGCGCTCATTCTCAGGTTCACGCAAGTCACGACCCTGAACATCATGCATGGCCCTGAGAACAAGTGCCTCCTTAAATTTTGCTCCCAGGCCGGCAGCCCCAGCAGTGCCTCTAGGTAAATACTCAGCCTCCCAGAGGGCAGGTGTAGTAGCTCACTGCCCACTGCAAGATCAGGGCAGCTCCCAGACAGGAAGAATGTTCTGGTCAGCTGTGACCAGAGGTCCTTTGCTTCTTTGTCTCATAACCACCTGGCTCTCCAGATTGAGGGGTGGGGGAGGGGTTGGGAGACACTCCAGTGGAATTCTCAGCAACCCTTCCCTGATGTGGACTCTAAGCCTAGGGGAAGATGTCTGAGACAGTGGGTCCCATCTCCCAGACCCCTTGCCACAGCTTCCTTGCCGGTCTGTTTGCCGCTTTCTGAGGAAGCCAACACTTGCCTTTATTCCTCTCTTTGACCACAGCTCTCCCCTGCAGAAATGTCCCTTCTCTGTGAACTCGGTGGTCCAGGGTCCAGGTGCTGGAATCACACAGACCTGGGCTGGAATCCTGGCTTCACTTCCAACCAACTGTGTGATTTTTAGGCAAATTTTCCCTCGCTGTGCCTTGGTTTTCCTATCTGTAAAATGGGATCATTGACACATGCTTTGCAAAGCATATTAGTTTCTTGTGGCTACTGTAACAAATTACCGCACACTGCATGGCTGAAAACAACAGAAATGTGTTACTCTCCCAGTTCTGGAGGCCAGAAGTCCAAAATCAAAATGTCACTTCCAGTATCCTTCCAGCTTCTGGTGGCTCCTGGAGTTCCTTAGCTCGCGGCTGCATCACTCCAATGTCGACCTCTATCCTCACAGTCTCTAGGTCCTTCTCTAGCTTTCTTTAGGACACTCACACTGGATTTAAGGCTCGCCTTGGTCTGGGCATGGTGGCTCATTCCTGTAATCCCAGCATTTTGGGAGGCTGAGGCCAGAGGATCGCTTGAGGCCAGGAGTTCAAGACCAGCCTGGCCAACATGGTGAAACCCCATCTCTACTAAAAATACAAAAATTAGCTGGGCGTGGTGGTGGGCACCTGTAATCCCAGCTACTCTGGAGGCTAAGGCAGGAGAATCACTTGAACCTGGTAAACGGAGGTTGCAGTGAGTCGAGATCACGCCACTGCACTCCAGCCTGGGTGACAGAGTGAGACTCTGTTTCAAAAAAAAAAAAAAAGAAAGAAAGAAGAAAGAAAAGAAAAGAAAAGAAAAGAAAAAGGCTCACCTTAACCCAGTATGATGTCATCTTCATTCTTACCTGAATGATATTTGCAAAGACCCTGTTTCCAAAAAAGGTCACATTCTGAGTTTCCAGGTGGACATGAATGGGAGACACCATTCAACCCGCTGCACAGAAATAAGGCTGGCCTAGGGCCCTCGGCAGCCATTCCCTCTGCCCTCTCCTACACCCTGCTTGGAGGCTTTTTTCTCCCAGGGGAAAGAGAAAGGTTGCTTCAGAGAGCAGCGTACTTGGAGCAGTGGCAAACTTCCAGTGCTTGTGAGCCAATTCCCCCTCCATCCAGTAGGCCCTTCCCTGGTTTCTGACTAAGTGTGAGGGAGGGAGGATGAATCGAGGCCAGATCCTCACTCATCTGAACTATACTTTCCACGGAAATAAACTTTCCCAAGGAGGCTGGCTGCCCCCTGCTATTCTTAGTCCAGAGCCTGAATCGACAGCAACGTTAATCATACAGGAAAACCATCGTCGTGGGACCCTGGCATGTGCTAAGTTGTGGCCACACCTTTGCACACCCAGGGTCTCATATGATGGTCACAGGTCAGTTTGCAGGTGAAGAGCCAAGGGTGGGAAGTGTCCATCAAGGAGCCCAAGGGACACGTTGCTTTCAAGGGTGCAGAAGGCTATGCCAGCTGCACTGCACCCCAGCACCCAGCACAGATCATCGAGGTAACACATGTTTTGTGCCTGCCTGACTGGGCTGGGTGTTTTTCCCACTCGATCCTCAGAGAGGCAGGAAGAAAGGAAGTCCTGACTCCAGGATCCTGCAGCTGGCTGCCTGCACCCAAAGCCTGCACTTTCCCGCTTCCCAGACCGGTCTCTGATCTCACAGTTCCCATCTTTCTGACCCTTCCCTATATGGGGGGCAGGTGCGGGGAGGAAGCTTTCCCAGGAGGAGCAGCAGGGCAGGTGGGATTTCTCCTTCATGTGGTCTTCATTCTGCAGAGAATGAGAAAGAGACTGGCTCTGGGGGGTATCAAAGTGTGTGAATGTGTGTGGCTGTGTGTGTGTGATCATGCGTTTATGCATATGTGACTGTGTGTGAGCATGAGTGTGTATGTGTGTCTGTATGTATGAGTTTGAGAAAGTGTGTGCGTGGCTGTGTGTATGAACAAGGGAGCATGTGGGTGTGTGTGTGTGGCTGTGAGTATATGCAAGTATCTGTAAGTGTGTGAACATGTGAGTGTGTACGCTAATGTGAGTATGTGCGTGTGTGAGAGTGTGTGTGTGTGTGTGTGTGTGGTTTTACAGGGGGGCAGGAAAGGGACAGGGGTGGGAGCAACATTCCTTGGAGGTTGAACCAGAGCTGGTGGAGGGACCCTCTCCTCCTCCCCTCTTGCCTGTTCCCTCTTCCCTCCTCCTTCCTCTTCCTTCTCAGCCCCTCGCCCCTTCCCAGCAGATTCTATTAAGCAACCCGGGACAAATGAAAGGGGTGAAACTGGGCGGGCGCCTGGCAGGGGGGTCAGCAGGGGCTAAGCGGTCAGGGCACTCGTCCCTGCCTTCCCAGGTTCCTGAACGCTGAGGATTACAGCTTCGACTGCTGCTGTTTAATCAGCTGGTAGCAATTTAACCATTACACCCCAGTGAGAGAATCCTAGACATTTCCTACAGGAGGGGGACGGGAAGACTAAGATGCAAGGAATGCAGAAGGGGGGTGGTGTGGAGACACAAAACAGCTTTATTAAAAAGAAGAAGGAAAGAGAAAAGGAACATGATGTGTCATTGTATCTCAGCTTGAAATAAAGCTCCCAGGGCTGGGAAGGAGAACGCAGACCCCTGGAGATGCTGGGGAGAGGGGAGTTGGAGGGTTGAAACAGGGAAGATGGGTGCGGGTTGGGTGCGGGGGAGGGGACATCAGAGAAGCCTGGATGTGGGATGTGGGAAGTTTTGTCTCCTGCAATGAGGGGCGGTCCCAAGACCTAGAGAAGGCCCTGCCCCATCCAAGCCTTGCCCGAGATGGCCCCTCAGAAACTGGAAACAACAGAGCAGTTCAGCGAGGAGAGACTCACTTTTGCAACCACTGGTCCGTTTGTAAGTGCGTGGAAAATGAGATCGGTAGAAGCGAGGAGAGACTCACTTTTGCAACCTCTGGTCCGTTTGTAAGTGCGTGGAAAATGAGATCGGTAGAAGTGAGGTTCTTTAGCAAATGCACTTCCAGCCTTCAAAAAATGAAAACAAACAAATAAACAAAACTTCTCCAGCCAACTTTCTTTTCTCTGGTCCCACCGTGCCTTAAGTGCCTGTACTTGAAGTCTCCAGCTGGCTGCTGCCCTGAGCCCCCCAAAGCCAGGCAAGAGCCACCTGTGGGGTGTAATGCAGAGCACCGGGAACCTCCGTGGAAGGCAGCCCTGGGAGAAAGCAAGGATGGAGTTTGGGGCGTAGAAAGGGAGCCCTGGGAGAAAGCAAGGATGGAGTCCAGGGCGTAGAAACCTGCCCTAAGATCTGGGGTTTCAGATTTGAGCCCCAGGCCTTCCTTGGCTCACTGAGAAAACTAGGGCAGGTTGCTGAAGCTCCTCTGAACCTCCGCTCTTCGTCTTGATTTACAGGGGTTGGTACACTTTTTCTGCAAAGGGCCAAATAGTAAATATCTTTGCGAGGCATTACAGTCTCTGTGGCAACTATTCAACTTTCTTGCTGTAGTGTGGAAATAGCCATGGATTACCATAAATGAATGCACATGGCTGTTTCCAATAAAACTTTATTGACAAAAACAGCCAGCCCATGGGCTGTAATTTTCTTTTTCCTTTCTTTCTTTTCTTTTCTTTTCTTTTCTTTTCTTTTCTTTTCTTTTCTTTTCTTTTCTTTTCTTTCTTTCTTCTTTCTTTCTTTCTCTCTTTCTCTCTTTCTCTCTCTCTCTCTCTGTCTCTCTCTCTCTCTCTTTCTTTCTTTTTGACAGTTTCACTCTGTCACCCAGGCTGGAATGCAGTGGCATGATCTTGGTTCACTGCAACCTCTGCCTCTTGGGTTCTAATGATTCTCATGCCTCAGCCTCCCGAGTAGCTGGGACTACGGGCGCCTGCCACCATGCCCGGCTACTTTTTATATTATTAGTAGAGACGGGGTATCACCATGTTGGCCAGGCTGGTCTTGAACTCCTAATCTCAAGAGATCCACCCATTTTGGCCTCCCAAAGTGCTGGGATTAAAGGTGTGAGTCGCCACGCCTGGACAGAAAAAAAGTGCAATTTTCTTAGCCAGTTCTAGAAGTAGGAATGATGGTGTCTTCTTCCCAGTGCCTGCCTCCTGGTGTCCAGTGAGAATGAAACACAGTGGTGTGTGGTAGCACATCTCCAGGATCTGAAACAGGATGGCCAATGGCCATCCAGGGCACATGAGTGAGACAGCTGGGGCTTTTCTGACCAAAAAACTTTCCACTGACTTCCCGTCATGTTATGTCAGGGACAGGGAAGACCCAATGCTGAATCAGCAAATAAGCCACTAGTAGGAGTCTAAGAGGATATCGTCTTGGACACAGAGGAGCTGGACTTTGCAGTGTGAAGAGGAGGTTTTCAAAGAGAGGGCATGGGGATTAAAAAGAAAGAAATGGGCCAGGCACGGTGGCTTACGCCTGTAATCCCAGCACTTTGGGAGGCCAAGGTGGGTGGATCACCTGAGGTTAGGAGTTCAAGATCAGACTGACCAACATGGAAAACCCCCATCTCTACTAAAAATACACAATTAGACGAGCGTGGTGGCACATGCCTGTAATCCCAGCTACTCAGGTGGCTGAGGCAGGAGAACAGCTTGAACCCGGTAGGCGGAGGTTGCGATGAGCCAAGATCACACTATTGCACTCCAGCCTGGGCAACAAGAGTGAAACTCCATCTCACAAAAGGAAAAAAAAAAAAAGGAAGAAAGAAATGACATTTCTGCTTAAGACCCAAAAGAGGCAGGAGGACCCAGAGTCTGGTGTGTTGGAGGGAAAATGAGGAAGGAGACAAGCAGGTATGAAAGACTGAGTGCCGCCCCATTTACTACCATGGGCTGGGAACAGACAGGGATGTTCCAGACAAGATGGCTGCAGGATATCGTGGTGAACGTTGGAGTCACGAATGTCACATGCCTGCTTGACCACTTTCTTGTTATGTGGTCTTCAAGAAACGTCTTCAGTCCAGGCGTGGTGGCTCACGCCTGTAATCCCAACATTTTGGGAGGCTGAGGCGGGCAGATCTCTTGAGGTCAGGAGTTCGAGACCAGCCTGGCCAACATGGCGAAACCCTGTCTCTACTAAAATACAAAAGTTACCCGGGGATGTGACAGGTGCCTGTAATCCCAGCTACTTGAGAGGCTGAGGCAGGAGAATGACTTGAACCCAGGAGGCAGAGGTTGCAGTGAGCTAAGACTGTGCCACTGCACTACACCCTGGGCAACAGAGCAAGACACCATGTCAAAAAATATATATATTCACCTCTCTGAATATCCATCTCCTCCTCTGCAAAATGGGTGTTATCCTCTCACTTATTCCCATGTGTCCTGTGGAAGGGATCAAATGGGAAGGTAAAGAGTAATGCTTAACACAGGGCTTGCCTGGCACGCAATAAGCTCTCTGGAAACAGAAGCTATTATTATTACGACCACTATTATTATTACTATTTTTCCTCTTGTGCTCCTCTGCCCCCATTGCCGAAGGGTGTAAACAGGCTAAGGGGACTCCTTGATGCTTAAGTCTGGAAGGTCTAGGTGGTGGCCTCTGCCCTTCACTTTGCCTCAGGATGTGGACTTTGAGCACTTCAAAAGTATCCGGTCTGGGGGTCGGGCACAGTGACTCCTGCCTGTAATCCCAGCATTTTGAGAGGCTGAGGAAAGAGGATCTCTTGAGACCAGGAGTTCACAACCAGCCTAGGCAACAGAGTGAGACCCTGTCTGTCTCAAAAAATATTTTTTTTAATTAGCTGATCCTTCAACCCAGGAGTTCGAAGCTGCAGTGAGCTATGATTGCATCACTGCACTCTAGCCTGGGCGACAGAGCGAGACCCTATCTCTAAAAAAATAAAAGGATCCTGTCTGACTCCTCCATTATTAGGTAGGAGAAAAGGGAATGGGAACCCCTGAGAAGAGGAATGATCAGGCCAAGACCCCACAGCTGGTTAGTGAAGCACCGCCACCTCAACCACTCCCTAAGTGCCAGGCAGAGAACATGGACCGCTCCCTCTATCCCTGACAGCAGGTCTCCAGGAGATGCTTTCCCAGCCCCATTTTCCAGATGTAGAAACGGAGGCTTAAAGTGACTTCATCAGATTCAAATGACTATTACAGTGTCGGCAGAGCTTGGGCTTGAAACTAAGAGGAGGGGACTCCAAACCTCAGGCCCTTTCTTTGGTACACTGAGACAGACACCTCCTACCTCCTAAGAAGCAGCCTAACCAAATATCGAAATCAAGCCCGTCATCTTGGTAGGGTGACCAACCACCCTGGTCTGTCCACAGCTGAGCAGGTTCTGAGACGCTGGGCTTTCAGGGCTAAAACTGGGCTAAAGCCCTGAGCAAACCTAGGGTGACTGTACATCTCGGTGTTACAAACGCCAGGTCCTAAGCTGCCAGCCTTCCCACCCTGCCCTCCGTTCCCATCTCCACATCTGCGTCGTGCTGGGTGTGGGTAGAGCCTTCAATTGCCATTGCTGTGAATCCCCGTCGATCTTCCAAAGTAAGCCTTGTGAAGTCACCTTAGGGCACAACGTACTAAAATTAAAGCATTAGTTAAAATACATAAAACATGAAACAGCGAAAGCAATGGAAACAGCTGAAATAGTATAATAAAACATGTCATTACAGCAGATTAGGATGAAAAATAGTTCTTGCATTATGCCCTGAAGGTTGGCAAACTGGGGCTTCGTAAATATGTCAAGAAATGTACACACAAACGCACACGCATAGATATTTATATACAAAATCTCAGAAGCAGTGGAACCAGCTGAAATGGTAGAATTATGTGCATCTCGCGAATAAAGTGTGCATTATTGCCCTGGTTTCTGTAACACGCTCAGATATAGATGGAGGAGGGGACAGAAATTTCAGAATCTGCAGAATGTCACAGGGTCCTGCCGTTTCCCATCAAGAGTTCCCTGGGAAGGTAAAGTCATCAGTATAAGATCAGCTCTCGGACCCTCGCGCACTCGCCTATCAGAAGTCTCTCTGGACTTGTTCCCTTGGTGTCTGCTACTCCCACTCAGGCCCCACGCGACATCACATTCCTGTTGCTAATGGGTTCACAGTCTGTTTTGCCATATGGGAGGAGGTAGAATTTCTTTTTTTCTTTTGAGACAGGGTCTTGCTCCGTTGCCCAGGCTGGAGTGCTGTGGCATGATCACAGCTCACTGCTGTGACCTCCTGGGCAGAAGCAATCCTCCTAACCTCAACTCTCGAGTAGGGGACTACAGGCATGCACCACCACGCCCAGCTAATTTTTTTATTTTTAGTAAAGATGGGGTTTCACCATGTTGGCCAGGCTGGTCTCAAACTCCTGGCCTCAAGCGATCTTCCCACCTTGGCCTCCCAAAGTGCTGAGGTTACAGGCATGAGCCACTGTGCCCAGCCCAGAATTTCTTAAAGGCAACTACAAGCCAACTTTTACCCACTGTTACTCCCGGCTGGGATTGCCCAACACCTGCATGGGGCCATGGGAAAGGGGGAATAGGTAGGGTGACTGACCAACCGTCCCCACTCGCCCAGGACTGTCCCAGACCTAGCACAGAGAGTCCTACATTGCAGAAAACCCCTCGGTCCAGGGCCAACTGGGATGGATGGTCCCCTCCAATCACGTCCCTCTCCCATGGCTCTTTGCCAACAGTATTCCATTTCTTTCTAATTACATTTCTAAGTTAAAGGGGGACAAAGCAAAGCTAGTGAAATTGACTCAACCCACTCCTGAGTCATTATTTCCCCCACTGGTTCCAAAAGGAAACATTTGACTCAGATTATGAGAATTAGCAGAAAGATATGAATTGTTTGTGTGTCACCAAAGCCCTTGAGCAACGACTGTCCACCCATGATCAGCAAATTAGCAAATTGCTTCTGGGTTGATCTTCCTGGCGGGGCTTGGGGTCTGTTTTATTTCACTGACAGGCACCTGTCTCCGATAGTAGGGCCCTCAGAGTGATAAATTGCATCCATATTTACTCTTCTTCCCAAAGCTAATTGTTGGGGGTGAGGGTTGTGTTTGAAATACCTTTTTGATGTGCTAAGAGCTTCCTACGAGGTAAATAAACAGACCGTTGGGCTTAGCCAGAGGTGTCTGCAGAAGCCAATATCCTAATTCTCGGTAGTTAATGGACATTAACCTCTCCAGCTTTCCCTCTTTCAGCTCACACCCTCATCCTATAATCATTGTCATTACTTATAATAACATTTTACACTGGTAGGTCAGCTTTTCTTCCTAAGTGCTCTAGTCTTGCCTAATGAGTAGCTTTCGAATCTAAATAATGAAGCATTTGCCCTCCTCAGGTTCCAGCTTCTAGTGGGGAGAATGCTTTTCCCCTGACCTTTTGGTTTGAGTGTGCACACATGCACCCACACACTGCATACTCACACACATACACACACGCATACTCACACACATACACACACGCATACTCACACACATACACACACGCATACACACACAATGCATACTCACACACACGCACACACATTCATACACATACATGCATACTCACACACATACACACAGGCATACACACACACATGCATACTCACACACATGCACACACATGCATACACATACATGCATACTCACACACATACACACATGCATACTCACACACGTACACACGCATACTCACACACATGCATGCACACATGCATACTCACATGCATACTCACACATACACACATGCATACTCACACACATGCACACACGCATACTCATGCACATGCACACACCCATGCATACTCACACACATATGCATACTCACACATATGCACACACACATGCATACACACACGCATACTTATATGCCTGCACACACACATACACACATGGAAACACACATGCATACTCACACATACATACATACACGCACACACACATACTCACACACATACACACATGCATATGCACACACACGCATACTCACACACATGCACACACATGCATACTCACACACTCACACATGCATACCCACACACATACATACATGTGCATACTCACACAATGCACACTCACACACGCGCACACACATGCATACTCACACATACATGCATACTCACACACATGCACACACGCATACTCACATGCACACACATGCATACCCACACACATGCACACACACATATGCATACTCACACATACATGCATACTCCCACATGCATACTCCCACACATACATGCATACTCACATGCACACACGCATGCATACTCACACACATACACACATGCATATTCACACACACGCATGCATACTCACACACATGTATACTCATACGCATACTCACACATACATGCGTACTCACACACGCACGCATACTCACACAAATACACACATGCATACTCACACACATGCCCATGCATGCAACTCACACACATACACACATGCATATTCACACATACGTGAATACTCACGCATGCACACACACATGAATACTCGTACACACATGAATACTCACACACATGCACACATATGCATACTCACATGCACGCATACATGCACGCACACATGCATACTCACACGTGCACAAAGACATTCTTACACACACATACACACACAAACACATACACACGCACACACACCTGCTCTATGCATTTGTTTCTCTACAGGATCCAAATAATGAAGATAGCTTCCTTTTTTGTTGTTTTGTTTTTGTTTTTGTTTTTATTTTGTTTTGCTTTTTAGAGTTAGGGTCTGGCTCTGTCACCCAGGCTGGAGTGCAGTGGCACAATCACGGCTCACTGCAGCCTGGAACTCCCAGGTTCAAGCGATTCTCCCACCTCAGCCTCCCAAGTAGCTGGGACTACGGGCACATGCCACCATGACCAGCTGTGTGTGTGTGTGTGTGTGTGTGTGTGTATGTGTGTGTGTTTTGTAGAGATGGGGGTCTCACTATGTTACCCAAGTTGGTCTTGAACTCCTGGGCTCAAGCAATCCTCTCTCCTCAGCCTCCCAAAGTGCTGGGATTATAGGTGTGAGCCACTGCTCCCATTGACTCTCATTTTTTGAGTGCTTAAAATCTGCTCAGTTACTGAGCTACAGGCACTCAGCCTGCATTGATTTTATCTGTGCAAGAAACTCTGTGATATTTCAATGGGGGCAATCAGCCCATTCTACAGAGGGGGAAACCGAGGATCTAAGAGGTACAATAACTGTCTCAGAGTCACATGGCTAATAAGTTACAAAGCAGCCATGACTGTCACCAGGGTCCGCATCCTTAGCCACCACCGAGCCAAATGACCCCAGCCAACTCAGGTCCTCTGAATGCCATCACCCACTAACCTTAGGCAAACCTCAGGGAGAGAAGACAGTCTCAAGAACTCCCTCCCAGTGGGTAGCATTTTGCAGCTACAGAGCCCTGAAGACCAGTTGCTCCATTATAGAAGTGGGAAGTGTCACTGTCCCTGTTGTGCCTGGCGTCCCACTGCTGGGCAGTCTGGACCTGGAGCAGTTGTCTTTCGGAGAGGGTGGCCGGGCTGCCTACACCCTAGCTGGACCCTACTGTGCCTCGCCTGCCCTGGCTCAGTCCGCTTCTCCTGGCCTCCTGTCCCTTTCCAGAGGTTTACAGCACTTTCCCTCTTTCCAGCCAGGAAGGGGAAGAATGTCACCCTGGCCTGTGTCACAGCTGCCACTGCAGGGACAGGAACCCAGTTTCCCAGTCTCTCTGAACCCTCAGGATTCAAGACTGGCAAAGAGAGGAAGTGCCAGTCCCCTTTGCCTCCTTTCTGCTGGCAGCTTGAAGCTATTTGAGGCGTCAAAGTCCCCTGTTTGGTTTGGAGGCAAACGCCACTTGGCGAGGAAGGGGCCTTGTCCTCAGCAAGTGTTTCAGCAGAATGCTAGAGACCAAAATTACACGCCTTCCCCTCACGGCTTAAAAAGCAGCCTTCAAGGGGGTTTTGCCCATGTATAATTCAGGAAGCACGGAAGCTGGAAACTGCAAACTCTGTTGGATTTTGCTTTCTCGGGAGGATCTTTGTCTCAAGCCACAGTTGTTTAAAATTGCAGTGCCGCATGCATGGAATGGAATGGCTTTGACCCCTTGTTCAGGTGACACTTGTCAGGCCTGTCTCACGGAGGAGCCTGCAAGGGGACACAGAGCTAAAAACCTGAGCGGCTTTGGTCTGCGTCCAAAGTTTTTTATCTCTCTTTTTTGCTTTGTCCTTTTCAAGAACACAGAATCATGAAACAAACATCAACCTGCTCTGTTGGAGTCTGAGACTTGGAGGACGGTGCCCGGTGTCTCAGAGGCTCTGAGGACATCTCGCCGTCTGAGGGCGGCAGCTGAAACACCTAGAGACTCTTTAGAAACCAGCCTCAGTGTGTGGTGAAGCCCCCACAAGCCCAGGTGACCACAAGGTCAGAATACTGGGGTCTTCCTGCAGACCGCTGACATCTTATGGGCCTCGTGGGAACCAGCCCTGAGCGTAATCACAATTTCCATTACCAAGGGACATGATGGATCACTCAGGGGTTGGCAACTCTTCAGATTATCTCACTTCCTGGGCTGCTGCGGGAGAGTGGGGGCCCGGAAAGGGCAGACTCCAGAATCAGACCTGGGTTCAAATATCTGCCTTGCTATTCACTGGCTGTGTGACCTTTGGCAACTTGCTGAAGGTCTCTGGGCCTCCTTTTTGTCATTTATAATATGAGTTAATGGTGCCTGCCTGAGGCATTGTGAAAATTAAAGGATTATGCATATAAGTGCCTGCCCCGGCTGGCTCACACCTGTAATCCCAGCACTTTGGGAGGCCGAGGCAGGCGGATCACAAGGTCGGGAGTGCGAAACCAGCCTGGCCAATGGTGAAACCCCGTCTCTACTAAAAATACAAAAATTAGCCAGTTGTGGTGGTGGGCGCCTGTAGTCCTAGCTACTTAGGAGGCTGAGGCAGGAAAATCGCTTGAACCCAGGAGGCAGAGGTTGCAGTGAGCCGAGATTGTGCCACTGCACTCCAGCCTGGGCAACAGAGCAAGACTCCGTCACAAAATACATACATACATACATACATACACACATAAATGCCTGTCCCTTGTGCAGCAGGGCCAGCCTCTCCATTCGGCATAGTAGCCACACTGCCTGTGGACATGAGCTTTGCTGGAGGCCCTGAAAATATTTTGCTGCTCAAAATAAGCAAGGTGCATACCTTGATGGCATTGATGTAAAGGTGGATATAATTGAGTCTGGCTTATATGCATCTTTATAACCATGCAGTCATAAAATATAATTTTTATTTTATTTTTTTGAGATGGAGTCTCACTCTTGTCACCCAGGCAGGAGTGCAGTGGCATGATCACAGCTCACTTCAGCCTTGAACTCCTAGTCTGAAGCAATCTTCCCACATCGGCCTCTGTAGCTGGGACTACAGGTGTGCACCAACAGGCCTGGCTAATTTTTTAGTTTTTGTAGAGATGGAGTCTTGCTGTGTTGCCCAGACTGGTTTCAAACTCTTGGCCTCAAGCAATTCTCCTGTCTCTACCTCCCAAAGCATGGAATTACAGGCATGAGCCACCACCCCCACCCTGAAATTAATTTTTTAAAAGAAAAATGTTATATCCCAACAATGAATTCCCTACTGGAATCGCTTGTCCATATTTTTTTTAAAAAACTTAACTATTAAAATAAAAAAATGTCCGCAGGTGGACCACCACCTAAAATAACTTCGTATCAAGGCTGGGACTATGGTGAGGCCAGTGATGGGCAGGGTTTCAAGAGTAAAAATCAATGTCACGAGAGTGAGGGTCCAGGTCATTGTGGGTAAAGGTCGAAGTTGGACAACTGAGGATAAGATCTTGTCTATATTTTACATTTTGCTATTTTGTCCATCATGGATTTTTTTTCACTGATCTTAATTTTTAAAAAATATTGCACTAAATATTTTCTCTGAATTACAGAGTTGTTTTTGGGGACTGAGACAACGCCTCCCTTGCCTCACCCTATTGCCTGTCCTGTGCTGCAGACAAAGACCTGTGTTCTCCACTTTGAGAAGTGGAGAAGTCCTAGGTCATAGACTTCCTGGGCCAGTGTCTCTGAGTCAGTCGGACCAAGCAAATGGCCAGTAGACATGTGTTCAAGTGCAGTTGGTGGGACGCGATCAGTGTGGGCTGAAGTGGTCGGCAAATGGATTTTGAGAACTATTTTCAAGGCCGAATTAACTTCCAGGCCTGGAGGGACAATTAACTTCTGCTCTTGGACTCCCCTTAATGGACTGAACACTCACTTCCCATCCAAGGTAAACCGTTTACCTCTGCCTCCCTCACTAGCCGTAGGCCTGGTGTTTATAAAGCCATTTGCACTCCCCAGAGAAAGGAGAATGTCTGGTGATTGTTTCATCATTAAATTAACTCTAGGACAACTCAGATGCAGCACGGGGGCGTCCCCGTTCCTGTCCCCCACTGACCCACTAGTGTCCACTGTTTGTAAATACCACGTAACGCCGTGAGCAGGCGTGAGATCTGGTGGAGTGAGCCCGGGCTGGGGCTGGAATGCAGAATTGTACAGTGAGTTTAGACGGTTCTCAGACCACAGAGTTCCCGACATTTCACAGGCCCTTTCCAGCAAAGCTAATTAACTTCTCACTCCCTCGGGCACGGGCAGGACAAGTCATAGGAATTATCGATGTGACCGAGTTTCCTAACAGCTGGTGGGTCAGGGCAGCTTTCTTGCATGGATCTGAGGGGGCACTAGGACCTCGAAGCATATACATGCATGTGAGCACAGACACGTGGGCCTGGAACTCCACCATTTGATGCCATAAAGTTTTTAGGACCCCTGTGAAATGTGCTCTTCAAATGAAGCTCTTGGCCGGGCTCGGTGGCTTACTCCTATAATCTCAGCATTTTGGGAGGCAGAGGCAGGCGAATCACTTGAGGTCAGGAATACAAGACCGGCTTGACTAACATGGTGAAACCCTGTCTCTACTAAAAATACAAAAAATTAGCCAGGAATAGCAGCGCACGCCTGTAGTCCCAGCTACTTGGGAGGCTGAGGCAGGAGAATCACTTGAACCCAGGAGGGTGGAGGTTGCAGTGAGCTGAGATCGCGCCACGGCACTCCAGCCTGGGCGACAGAGCGAGACTCGGTTTCAAAAAAAAAATTTTTTTTTAAATTAAAAAAAAAAATGCAGCTCTTCCTGGAAGTAGACCCTTGAGCTTTTGTGAGTTGATGACCTCACAGGGTTAGGATGCATTCTCAGAACTAGGGCTTGGAATGAATGAGACGCCAAGGGGAAGACAGGAAGGCCAGGCATGAGAAATGCTCAAAAACCACATGGGGAATGTAGCAAGATTGTAGAAGGCAGTGTGCTGACACATGAATTTATTGGCTCAGTTGAGTGCCTGCCATGTGCCAAGCACTGGGCTAGCGTCTAGGAACCCAGTGGTGAATAAGACAGACTAGGTCCCTGCCCTCATGGAGCTCACAGTTTAATTAGGAGACAAACCATAAGCAACGAACCAACTCCTTATCTCAGCCTCTAAGGCCTTATGTGACGTGGCCTCTGGCCTTGTCTCATCTCCTGCCACCCTCCCCCAGGCCATCAAGCTCCAGCCACTTGCCTTTCTTTCTGTCTCTTGAACACACAAAACTCATTTGCACCCCAGGGCCTTTCCACAGGCTGTTCCATCTGCCTGGAATACCTTTTCTCTGGATTTTCTTTCTTTCTTTTTTTTTGAGATGCAGTTTCGCTCTTGTTGCACAGGCTGGAGCACAATGGTGCGATCTCAGCTGACTGCAACCTCCGCCTCCCAGGTTCAAGCGATTCTCCTGTCTCAGCCTCCAGAGTAGCTGGGGTTACAGGCGCCCGCCACCATGCCCGGCTAATTTTTGTATTTTTAGCAGAGAAGGGGTTTTATCATATGGGTCAGGCTGGTCTCGAACTCCTGACCTCAGGTGATCCACTCGCCTCAACCTCCCAAAATGTTGGAGTTACAGGCATAAGCCACCGCTCCCGGCCTTTTTTTTTTTTTTTTTTTTTTTTGACACAGTTTCACTCTGTCGTCCAGGCTGGAGTGCAGTGGTGCAAGCTTGGCTTGCTGCAACTTCTACCTTCCAGGTTCAAGCAATTTTCCTGCCTCTGCCTCCCAAGTAGTTGCGATTACAGGTGCCCACCACCACGCCCGGCTAATTTTTTTTTTTGAGACGGAGTCTAGCTCTGTCGCCCAGGCTGGAGTGCAGTGGCGCGATCTCAGCTCACTGCAAGCTCCGCCTCCTGGGTTCACGCCATTCTCTTGCCTCAGCCTCCCGAGTAGCTAGGACTACTGGCACCCGCCACCACGCCTGGCTAATTTTTTTTGTATTTTTAGTAGAGACAGGGTTTCACCGTGTTAGCCAGGATGGTCTCGATCTCCTGACCTCGTGATCTGCCTGCCTTGGCCTCCCAAAGTGCTGGGATTACAGGCGTGAGACACTGCGCCCGGCCTAATTTTTTGTATTTTTAGTAGAGATAGTGTTTCACCATGTTGGCCAGGCTGGTCTTGAACTCCTGACCTCAAGTGATCAGCCCGCCTCAGCCTCCCAAAGTGCTGGGATTACAGAGTGAGCTACCATGCCCTGCCATTTCCCTGGATTTTCAAACAACTTTCTCCTCAACTCTCAGATCTCATCAAAAAACATCACCTCCTAGAGAAGCCTTCCTGGATCAGCCCGTCTACATTCTGCTTCCCCTCCATCACTTTCTCTCCTGTTGCCTTGTTTTATTTTCTTCTTACTACTTACCACCATCCTAGAGAATTATTTGTTTCTGGGTTCAGTGCCTTTCTGCTCCATTTGAATGTGAGCTCCTTGAAATTAAAGCCCTCGTCTAGATAAAAGAAGCAAACAAAAAGTTAATAAGTGATTGTGACTTGTGACGCAGTAAACCACTCAAAGAGCCAGAATTACGCTGGTAGATGCGGCGGGGGGAGGAGGGGTCAGGAAAGGCCTCCTCAAAGGGCGATGTTTAAACAGAGACCAGCAGGGCAAGAAGAAGCCAGCCTGGGAAGCACTTGGAGGATGCAGAGGAAATGTCAGGCAGAGGCACAGCAGAGGCAGGAGGAAGCCCTGAGGGGCCAACATTGGTATTTTTCAAGAAACTAAAAAGATACTCCCATGGACAGTCAGGCTTGCGTTTGAATTCTGGCTCCTCTGCTGCCTCCCAGCAATGCGGCCCTTGCCCAAATCACTTCTGTCTCCAGGCCTCAATCTCCTCCTCTATAAAATGGGGATACAATCAGCACTTTGGGAGGCCGAGGCGGGTGGATCACAAGGTCAAGAGATCAAGACCATCCTGGCCAACATGGTGAAACCTCATCTCTACTAAAAGTACAAAAATTAGCTGGGCTTGGTGGTACGCACCTGTAGTCCCAGCTACTTGGGAGGCTGAGACAGGAGAACTGCTTGAACCCAGGAGGTGGAGGTTGCAGTGAGCCGAGATCACGCCACTATACTCTAGCCTGGCGACAGAGCAAGACTCCGTATCAAAAAAAAAAAAAAAATCTTCCTTGAACTCCTTTATAAAAATTAAGATAACACATAGAGTTTGGCTCATAGTAGGAACTTAATAGATGTTTATTTCTATCTCCCTCCGCTTCACAAAGTTGTCAGGAGCCACCCCAGGCTGCCAGAACCGTCCTACTTTAAGAGAGGATCCTTTGGGGCCGGGTGCGGTGGCTCATGCCTGTAATCCCAGCACTTTGGGAGGCTCAGGTGGGTGGATCACTACAAGGTCAGGAGTTTGAGACCAGCCTGGCCAACATGGTGAAACCCCATCTCTACTAATAATACAAAATTAGCTGGGTGTGGTGACAGTCATCTGTGGTCCCAGCTACTGGGGAGGCTGAGGCAGGATAATTGCTTGAGCCTGGGAAGCAGAGGTTGCAGTGAGCCAAGATTGCGCCACTGCACTCCTGCCTGGGCAACAGAGCAAGACTCCATCTCAAAAAAAAAAAAAAGAAGACCCTTTGGCTGGGCTCAGTGGCTCACTCCTGTAATCCCAGTATTTTGGGAGGCTGAGGTGGGAGGATCACTTGACCCCAGGAGTTCAAGACCAGCCTGAACAACATAGTGAAACCCCATCTCTACAAAAAATAAAAAATAAAAAATTGGCTGGGCTTTCGCTTGAGCTTAGGAGCTTGAGGCTGCAGTGAGCCGTGATGGTGCCACTGCACTCTAGCCTGGGCCACAGAGCAAGACACTGTCTCTAAAAGAGAATGTTTCCCATCCCCAGGCCCCATGCCCACTACCTCTGCCTTCTCCTAGTATCGGAATCCCGAGTCCCCAGTTGCTCAGTTTCTTCCATTTGCACAGCCTACCTGACCTCATGGGACTTTGTCCCACATCCTCTCACTCACAGCTCCCAAGGGACTGTCCCACATCAGCAACCTAAGCTAGAACCAGACCCCAGAATACCTAAATCCAAGACCGATGTTCCTTCCATTATACCAGGCAGAAGTTTAGAGCTAATAGCCTGCGGTTTTTCAATGTCAAGGCTGTTCCTCACCCTTCACTGTCAACCCAGGAAGCAAGAGCTCTGACCTGCCCACACTTGAGATCCAAGACGTCACTAGCAAAATAATAGTTCCTACCAGCTACCAAGCACGGTCAGGGAGCTAGGTGCACTGCTAAGTCCTTTGCAGACGTGGTCTGATTTTGCCTTCTTCGTAACCCCTGGATGTATTATATTCCCATTTTATAGATGAGTACATTAAAACTAAGAAGTGAAGTGGTTTGCCCATGATCATATAAATGCTAAGACACATAGTTTATAACTCAGGCTGGGGTTATATTAAAACTCTTTAATAACCAGCACAGCATGGCCACTGGCCAATCAGAATAGACGCCAGCTATGAATGCCCAGCATGGCATACGGATGCCTACCAGCTGAACAATAGCCCAGACAGACCGACTCCAGTCCTTTCTGCTGCGGGCGCCCTCGGGAAAGCCACTGCACTTAGAGCAAAAACAAGGAAGCTCCCTGCTGGACCAAACAGCTTGCGGGGAAACAGGAGAGCTGGCACCGATTCCAGCATGTGCAGAATACAGTGTGCCGCCAACAGGCCACCTCTACAAAGCCAGTTAGCATATCATGAAGGGGGAGGGGCTTGGAGGCAAATCCCAGGAGAATGGCCCAGAGTCTAGAGTGCAGTCGCATTGGTGTGACACACAATGGCACACACACAATTGCAGTCACACTGGTGCAGTCACACTGGTGTACCACTGGTGTGGCACACCCAAGTAGATGAGCTGAAGTTGGTGTTCGGAGACCCACAGGGGCCCGAGGACACCAGGCAAGTGAGATTGGGACATCCAGGCCACGGTTCACGTGTCTGAACCCAGTTCGAATTCCTTCACATTATTCAGCCGTAATTCCTTGACTTCTACATAAGACAGCGGCCCTTTGGTCAAACTGCCTGGACTGGAAGCCTACATTCACTACTTGGGTTTTTTGTTTTGTTTTGTTTTTGAGACAGTCTTGCTCTGTTGCCCAAGCTGGAGTGTAGTAGCACGATCTCAGCTCACTGCAACCTCTGCCTTGCAGGTTCAAGCGATTCTCTTGCTTTAGCCTCCCGAGTAGCTGGGACTATGGTTGTGTGCCACCACGCCCGGATAATTTTTGTATTTTTAGTAAAGACGGAGTTTTACCATGTTGGCCAGGCTGATCTTGAACTCCTGACCTCATGTGATCCACCTGCCTCAGCCTCCCAAAATGCCTCAGCTGGGACTATAGGCATGAGCCACCACGCCCAGCCACATTCACTACTTGTTAGCTTTGGGACCTTGACCAAATTGCTTCACTTCTGTCTCAGTTTCCTTATCTATAAAACGTAAAAGCGGTGGTGATTACATACATTATACTTTACAAGTCCTGCAAGCAGTATTCATTAAGTAAATAATAAACAAATGCTTTTCCTAGGATGGTTTATCAAATACACAAGTCACACCAAACTATTCACTTCTTTTTTGACACTTGCACACTTTTGTATCAGTTAGGAATTGTGCTTGACTTCTAGTAACAGGGAACTGAAATAACAGTGGTTTAAACAAGGTAAAGATTTCTTTTCTTAAAAAAGAAATCTTTTTTTAAAAAAAAAAAAAGTCCAGGTTGACATGTCCCCCAGATCATCAATATCCCATGTTCATTCTGTCTTTCCTCTCTGATATCCTTAGAGCATGGTTTCAGTGATCAAGGTCACACAATTACTACTGCAACTCCAGCCATCATGTCTTCATTCCAGGCACAAAGAAGGAGGAAGAAGGGAGGGCAGAAGGGTATCTCAGGTGAGTCAGCCCCATTCTTTAAAGAGATTTCCTGGAAGCTCCACCCAACTACTTCCCACTTAGTTTTTTTGTTTGTTTGTTTGTTTTTTGAGTCTCACTCCGTCGCCCAGGCTGAGTGCAATGACACCCTCTCAACTCACTGCAACCTCCACCTCCCAGGTTCAAGCAATTCTCCTGCCTCAGCCTCCCAAGTAGCTGGGATTACAGGAGCCCACCACCACGCCTGGCTAATTTTTATATTTTTACTAGAGATGGGGTTTCATCATGTTGGCCAGGCTGGTTTAGAACTCCTGAACTCATGTAATCCGTCCCCCTTTGGCCTCCCAAAGTGCTGGGATTACAGGCGTGAGCCACTGTGTCCAGCCTTCCCAGTGACTATTAATAAGATATGACTTAGGAACACTATCTGTAAAGGGAGCTCACAAATGTAGTTTTTCTTTCTTTCTTTCTTTCTTTTTTTTAATTTGATCTATTGCTACTCCTAACAAAAATCTAAATTGAGTTGCTAAGGAAAAGGGGTTACAGATATTGGGTAGACAACCGCAGAATTTGCCTCTTTTTGTCCATGTGTTTTGACATGTATTTTCTCCACACTAAATATCAACCCCTAAAGTCTCACCTGGAATCCTCTACCTCACAGGCGTCCTTTCTACCACCCTGCTTAACACAATGGCCAGATATGGCTATTGGGCACTGAAATGTGGCAAGTGTGACCGTGTAACTGAATTTTTAATTTTATTTACCTTTATATTTAAGCTAAAAAAACTAATACTGCATTCAGTTATTGGAAAACTTTGCTTGGAGCACCTTGGGTATGCAAATTATACTCGAACTTATTCAACCATAAATTTTATGAGATCTAAATACAGATCAAGTATTTCTGATAAAAATTTAGCACCTCAATTGGGATGCTCTATACTTACACAGAGATTTCAAAGACTTCGTCCAAAAAAAAAAAAAAGAATGTAAAATGTCTCATTAATAATTTTTTTTTGGCCGGGTGCAGTGGCTCATGGCTGTAATCACAGCACTTTGGAAGGCTGAGGCAGGCAGATCACTTGAAGTCAGGAGTTCGAGACCAGCCGGGACAACATGGTGAAACCCCATCTCTACTAAAAATACAAAAATTAGTCAGGTGTGGTGGCACACACCTGTAATCCCAGCTACTCAGGAGGCTGAGGCGGGAGAATTGCTTGAACTCGGGAGGTGGAGGTTGCAGTGAGCCAAGATCAAGGTCATGCCACTGCACTCCAGCCTGGGTGACAGAGTGAGACTCTCTGTCTCAAAAAAAAAAAAAAAAAAATGCAGAAAATGCAAATTGTGGGGTAGGGCACAATGGCTCACGCCTGTAAATCCCAGCACTTTGGGAGGCCGAGGCAGGCAGATCATGAGGTCAGGAGATCGAAACCATCCTGGCTAATACAGTGAAACCCCATCTCTACTAAAAATACAAAAATTAGCCAGGCATGGTGGTGGGCACCTGTAGTCCCAGCTACTCGGGAGGCTGAGACAGAATGGTGTGAACCCGGGAGGCAGAGCTTGCAGTGAGCTGAGTTCACACCACTGCACTCCCGCCTGGGCGACAGAGCAAGACTCCGTCTCAAAACAAACAAACAAACAAAAAAACAAAGTGTGGTGACTCACACCTGTATTCTCAGCACTTTGGGAGGTTGAGGCAGGCAGATCACTTAAGCCCTGGAGTTCGAGACCAGCCTGGGCAACATGGCAAAATCCTGTCTCTACAAAAGACACAGAAATTAGCTGAGCATGGTAACGCATTCTTGTAGTCCCAGCTACTCAGAAGGCTGATGTGGGAGGATCGCTTGTGCCCAGGAGGTCAAGGCTGCAGCCAGCTGTGATTACACCACTGCACTCCAGCCTGGGTGACAAAATGAGACCCTGTCTCAATAATAATAATAATAACAACAGTTTTATATTGATTACATGTTAGCATTATAATATTTGAGGCATATTGGGCTAAATAAAATATCTTATAAAAAGTAATTTCACCTGTTTCTTTTTAATGTGGCTACTAGAAAATGTTTCATTACATATGGGGTTCACAGTCTATGTCTGTTGCACAGCTCTGCTTTCTGCCTTCTGCTTTTTGTTTTTTTTTTTTTCTTTTTTTGAGATGGAGTCTTGCTCTGTCGCCCAGGCTGGAGTGCAGTGGCATGATCTCGGCTCACTGCAAGCTCTGCCTCCTAGGTTCATGCCATTCTCCTGTCTCAGCCTCCCGAGTAGCTGGGGACTACAGGCGCCTGCCACCACACCGGACTAATTTTTTGTATCTTTAGTAGAGAGACAGGGTTTCACCATGTTAGCCAGGATGGTCTCGATCTCCTGACCTCGTGATCCACCTGCCTTGGCCTCCCAAAGTGCTGGGATTACAGGCGTGAGCCAGCGCGCCCAGCCCTGCCTTCTGTTTTTGAGTCAGTTATTAATATATCTACATACCATGTAGATGTATTAACATCTACATACTCCCTACTCTACATACCATGGCTATGTGAGAGCTAGAATCCAAGTAGGATTTATATCTACTATTTATTGGCACTTACTATATACTAGGCACTATGTTGTTTTTTTGTTTTTTTTTAATCAAGACCTAACTCTGTCACCCAGGTTGGAGTGCAGTGGCTCAATTATAGCTCATTGCAGCCTCGAACTCCTGGGCTCAAGAAATCTTCCCACCTCAGCCTCCCAAGTTTACAGGCATGAGCCACCCCAGCCAGCTATACACTAATTTTTTCTTTTTTTTTTCTTTTTGAGACAGACTCTCCCTCTCTTGCCCAGGCTGGAGTGCAGCAGTGAGATCTTGGCTCACTGCAACCTCTGCCTCCCGGGTTCAAGCGCTTCTCCTGCCTCAGCCTCCCGAGTAGCTGGGATTACAGACGCGTGCCACCACACCCGGCTAATTTTTGTATTTTTAGTAGAGACGGGGTTTCACCATGTTGGTCAGGCTGGTCTCGAACTCCTGACCTTGTGATCCGCCCACCTTGGCATCCCCAAGTGCTGGGATTACAGGCGTGAGCCACCGCGCCCGGCCTGCACTATGTTTTTAAATGTAATAGCATTTCACAGTGTAATCCTTATTGTAACAGGCAGCATATTAAAGAATATGGGCTTTGAAGAAACACACAGGGCCAGGCGCAGTGGCTCACGCCTGTAAACCTAGCTTTTTGGGAGGCCGAGGAGGGATGATTGCTTGAGGCCTGGAGTTTGAGACCAGCCTGGGCAACGTAGTGAGACCCCATTTCCAAAAATTTAAAACTCAACCGAGTGTGGTGGCACACACCTGTGGTTCCAGGTACTCAGGAGGCTGAGGCAGGACAATCACTTGAACCCAGGAGTTTGAGGCTGCAGTGAGCCGAGATCACGCCACTGCACTCCACCCTGGGCAACAGAGCAAGATCTTGTCTCGAAAAAGAAAAAAGAAAAGAAACACACAGTGTTTGTATCAACTCCACCACCTTCAGCAGGCAGTGCTTTCAGTCTGAGCCTCTACAAAACGGGTGTGTTTAGCACACCTCTCAGGCTTTGTGTGGCTGAGACAAGCATATGCAATGCCCACCCTGGGCACACAGCATGGCACAAAGTATGAAACTCGCTAACTCAGGTTTCTGCCCTTGCATCCCCATGGTTCCTAGCACAGTCCCTGGGACATGAAAGGCATCGGATCAACGTTTGCTCCAGGAAGGAAGCTGGGGGTGGGAGGTGGGACAGGCAGAGACTGGAGCCCAGCTGGGTTTCAGAACAGGTGGGCGAGCTCACAGACGCTGCACACAGCCAGGATCTGGCCTAGAATAGAGGCCGCCTGCTCTGGCTGGATTGGAGCCCCTTCTCGGAGTGACGGGTGACAGGTGCATGCCGTTTGCTCGGCAGGTGCTTGTGGTTGGCAGTGACAACAGAGGCCCAGAGTTGTTGGTTACAAACCCCAGGGAAGGTTCTAAAAACCTTCCCTTCCCCTCCATTGTCCCTGCATTGCACCAGAGGCCTGGAGAAGACCCCATCTAGGACTATTCTAATAGCCACTTTTTCTTGAGCACTTATTATGCCCTAGACACCACATCCCACCTGCAGACAACCCCAAGAGGGAGGGACTGTCTCTCTTCCCATGTTACAGATGGGAGAACTGAGGCTCAGAAAGGGGATATTCGTTGCCCAGTCCTATCTGACCCCAGTCTCCTTAGGTTGATCCCTGGGCTGTACTCCACCATGACTCAACTCCCCTATCTATCACCCATATGCCATCACATGGACTCTTTCCCTCCCCCACCAACGCTGACAGAAGCAGAAGAGACTAGTAAGAAACCACACAGGGAGGGGCCCAGGGGAAGTTGGAGGTACCAGTGAGAACTCCTTTACTGACTTTACAGAAATTCAGCTCAATCCAAATTACATCAAAATGTAAATGTATTGGTGCCATTAACAAAAATGTGCAGGAGTTGTGGTTTCAGGTCCAGCTGGATCCAGGTGCTCAAATAACATCGTAAGAAATCTCTCTCTCTAGGTAGGGTGCGGCAGCTCACACTCGTAATCCCAGCACTTTGGGAGGCTGAGGTGGGCGGATCACCTAAGGTCAGGAGTTTGAGACCAGCCTGACCAACATAGTGAAATCCCATCTCTCTGCTAAAAATACAAAAATTAGCCAGGCATGATGGTGTGTACCTGTAATTCCAGCTACTTGGAAGACTGAGGAGGAGAATGGCTTGAACCTGGGAGGTGGAGGTTGCAGTGAGCTGAGATTGTGCCACTGCACTCCAGCCTGGGTGATAAAGCAAGACTCTGTCAGAAAAAAAAGAAAGAAAAGAAAGAAGGAAGGAAGGGAGGGAGGGAGGGGAGGGAAAGAAAGAAAGAAAAAGAAGGAAGGAAGGAAGGGAGGAAGCGGAGGGGAGGGAAAGAAGGAAGGAAGGGAGGGAGGGAGGGAGGGGAGGGAAAGAAAGAAAGAAGAAGGAAGGAATGGAGGGAGGGCGGGGAGGGAAAGAAAGAAAGAAAAAGAAAGAAGGAAGGAAGGAAGGAAGACCGGTGCGGTGGCTCACGCCTGTAATCCCAGCACTTTGGGAGGCCGAGGCAGGTGGGTCACGAGGTCAGGAGATTGAGACCATCCTGGCTAACATGGTGAAACCCCGCCTCTTCAAAAAAAAATAATAAATAAATAAAATTAAAAAATTAGCCGGGCGTGGTGGCGGGCACCTGTAGTCCAGGCTACTCGGGAGGCTGAGGCAGGAGAATGGCGTGAACCTGGGAGGTGGAGCTTGCAGTGAGCTGAGATCGTGCCATTGCACTATAGCCTGGGCGACAGAGCGAGACTCCGTCTAAAAGAAACAGAAAGAAGGAAGGAAGGAAGGAAGAAAGGAAAGAAGGGAAAAGAAAAGAAAAGAAAGAAAAGGAGGGAGGGAGGGAAGGAAGGCAGGAAGGCAGGGAGGGAGAAAGAAAGAGAAAGAAAGAGAGAAAGAGAAAGAAAGAAAAGAAAAGAGAAGAGGAAATTTTCCTACCACCAGCACATTGAGGGCGGGGAATCGTCAGAAGTTCACAGATCAGAGGATTGGATTCTGTCTTTGCATTGAACCTGGCAAAGTGAGGTAGAGAAAAATAAAAAAGGCCCCCAGCCTCCCATGCCTGCATATCTTGAAGTTTGTGGTCAAGATCACAGCCAAAGACTCACACCAGCTAAGTCACAAAGTTTGGCTCAGCCTGGGGCTTCCTGGAAACCACTAAGCTGAAGAGGTTCGTGAGGTCCCCACAGTTCATTTAGAATTCACAACCTTCCCCTATGACATTTTTGTTTCTAACATAGATCTCCCCTAAGGAAAGGGATAGAGCTGCCACAGAGAACAAAATGCTCTTCAGCCCTGAGTTCATCAGTTCTTGCTGTACATAAACACCTTTTTCCCCCCCCGTAACACAGGAAATGCAGGAAACCAGCACCAGCTGATAAAAAAAAAAAGACCCCCCCCCCCCCACACACACACACCCACACACACACACACACACACACACCCACACACACAAGCTTTCCAACTTGTCCAGAAAGTTGCCCACAGCACTTCTGGCCACGCTGGGCTGGGCCACTGTGACGTCAGGCCGGCAGTCAGCCAATGGAGGAATGGTTCTGACTTTCTCATCTGCATATTGCGGTGGCATTGGTTCAGATTTCAGGGCCGTTTGTATTGTGGTGGTTTCTTTATGTTCAAGGTTATCCACACCAGGCAGAGGACAAACTCCACTCCTGGCCTTCCTGCCCAGCTAGATTTAAGGATTGTAACCAGGACAGTGAGTCCCTTCTGGGAAAGGGGCCTCGTGGAGGTTATGAAATCCAGCAGGTCATGGAAGGAGAAACGATTGACAATCCAGACGGGATGGAGGCAGGAGTTGGCTCAGTAACCCCATCTTTCCTATCCACCAGCACTCCCCTGCGCTTCCCAAGTGATTTAATTATCCATTCTTTAACTGCAACTCGGTTAGCCCTGAAATTTGGGTGAAGAGAAATCAGACACAGGTTACTTGAATTACTATGCTTGGTTTTATCTTGTAGACGAATAACTCAGGCATGTGAATTGAACATGCAAATGTGTGCAAAACAACATGCATAATTTAAGATTCTCAAATTAACAGAGGAGAAACAATTGAGTAACCTCACTGCTTTCTCTGAAGCACAGTTTTCTAAGAATATTGTAACCATTTTTTTTTTTTAGCTGTCTGACAGAAGGGATTGGAAAATAGAAGGAATTTAAAGCAAAAGGGTGGATGTAGCTATCAGTGGCAAGAAAAATGCAGGGAGATTGCAATATTAAAATATAGTCAAATTTCACTTACTCGGATATCACTGAGTTTGGATTTGGTGTAAATCACCTCAAACTTCCCTTTACTTTGATGCTAACTATAAATACGGTATTGGTGTGTATTAGAGCTCTGGTTCTCACCTCCAAGGTTTGATTAAATAAGTCTGGGTAGAAATAAAGAAATTATAACAAGTGTCCCAAATATTTCTGTCAACGGGGGACTACCGCTGAGAAACTGCCTTGATTTTCCAAGCCACTTTTAATTTTAAATGTTTATTTCCCCATGGTCTTCACAAACCATTGAAATATCTCAGCAACTAAAATATTCCAGCATGCAAACTTGATCTCTTCGATTGACTACCCCACCCAAAAGCTGTGCAGAAAGCCCCCTAGCACGTACACTGATTTGGACTGGAAACTGGAGCCGCCGTCGCTGTGAAGAGATGTGAAGTGACCAGACTTCCATGTGTGATGATTAATTTTATGTGTCTACTGGACTAGGTTAAGGGATGCCCAGATGGCTGGTAAAACATTATTTCTGGGTATGTCCGTGAGGGTATTTCCAGAAGAGATTAGCATTTGAATCGGTAGATTGAATAATGTTTGCCTTCACCAATCCAGGTGAGCGTCATGTCATCCACTGAGAGCTCAAATAGAAAAAGGTTTAGGAAGCATGAATTTGCTGTCTGCTTGAGCTGGAACATCACCTTCTCTTGCCCTCAGGCATCAGCACTCCTGGTTTGGGGGACTTAGGATTCAGACTGGGACCTATGCCATTGGTTTCCCTGGTTCTCAGGCCTCTGGGCTTCATTGGACTGGAACTATACTACCAGTTTTCCTGGGTCTTCAGCTTGCAGATGGCAGATTGTGGAACTTCTCAGTCTTCATAATTGTGTGAGCCAATCCCCCATAATAAATCTCTTTCTCTATATCTACACATTTCCTATTGGTTCTGTTTCTCTGGAGAACCCTGAGTAATACAGCCTATAATAGACCAAGCGCCCCAGACGCTGGCGCTGCTATCCCAATTCTGCAGCTCTCGGCCAGCAACTGAGCACGTCAGAGACACTAAGGCAGCCTGTTCATGGGAGGTGCAGGGCTCCTCCAATGGTGACTTGAGCTTGAGAATTCTCCAAGGGCCTTCCCAAACCTTCCTTAGACTGCATGGGAGTCCAGGACACTCCCACCCAAATTTCTTCTTTTTAAAAAAAAATTTTTTTTACCCATCATAAACTAGATCCTACCCAACTTTCCCTTCCCTTCCCTCCCCTCGCCTCCCCTCCCCTCTCCTCCCCTTCCCTTCCCTCTTTCTTTTTTATAAGACAGTCTCACTCTGACACCCAGGCTGGAGTGCAGTGGCATGATCTCAGCTCACTGCAACCTCTGCCTCCAAGGTTCAAGCAATTCTCCTGCCTCAGCCTCCCGAGTGGCTGGGATGACAGACCTGTGCCACCACACCTGGCCGATTTTTGTATTTTTAGTAGAGACGGGGGTTTCTCCATGTTGGCCAGGCTGGTCTCGAACTCCTGGCCTCAAGTGATCCACTCACCTCGGCCTCCCAAAGTGCTGGGATTACAGGTGTGAGCCACTGTTCCAGGCCCCCACCCAACTTCCTTTCCTCTCCCCTTCATTTGGGATTGTGTGGCCCTCCTCACTTTCTCTGTCTCCCTCCCTGCTTCTCCCACAGACCTTTCTTCTAATAAATCCTTTCTGCTTTAAATTTATTTTTAGTCTCTGCTTCTAGGAGAACCATGGCTAACACAAAAGATTTTGACAAAGAAATAAACAACATACCAAGTATTATAAAGATCATATTTTTGGACCTTCTTTCATTTATTTATTTGGAGACAGAGTCTCACTCTATGGCCCAGGCTGAAGTGCAGTGGCACAATCACAACTCACTGCAGCCTCCACCCGCTGGGCTCAATCAATCCTCCCACCTCAGCCTCCCGAATAGTTGGAACTACAGGCATGTGACACCACGTCTGGCTAATTTTTGTATTTTTTGTAGAGGCGGGGTCTCGCCCTGTTGCCAGGCTGGTCTCAAAATCCTTAGCTCAAGTGATCGGCCCTCTTGGCCTCCCAAGGTGCTAGGATTACAGGCGTGAGCCACTGTGACCAGCCTTGGACCTTCCTTGATGGATAAGCCTGTCTCTTGCCTTGTGCCTTGTCCAGCTTGTGTTCTGAGGGAATGCCACCTCCAGAAAGCGAGTATATGGTACAGGGGAGCCCAATCAGACAGGAAGAGGAAGGAAAAGCACTTTCTTGAGGACGTTCGGCATCATTTTCATAAAATGATTATGTTCTCTTCTCCAGTAAGCCTCATCTATTCATTAAAATGACCCCTCCACCACTCCTGACACTACTTCCTTTGCTATTATACTTTTGTCCAAGTAATTAAATAATTAATTACTTGGATAATTAATTCATAGTAATTAAATAATTCTTTCCAAATACATTCTTTTTTTTTTTTTTTTTTTTTTGAGATGGAGTCTCGCTCTGTTACCCAGGCTGGAGTGCAATGGTACCATCTTGGCTCACTGCAACCTCCGCCTCCCGGGTTCAAGAAATTCTCCTGCCTCAGTCTCCCAAGTAGCTGAGATTACAGATCCCACCACCACAACCGGCGAATTTTGTATTTTTATTAGAGACGGGGTTTCACCATGTTGGCCAGGCTGGTCTTGAACTCCTGACCTCAGGTGATCCGCCCGCCTCAGCCTCCCAAAGTGCTGGAATTGCAGGCATGAGCCATCACACCTGGCCAAAATAAATTCTTTAAAAAAATGTTTGTAAAGTATATGTAATATCTTTGAACAAATAAATTCTATCATTTGGACAGAATGACAAAGTCTTTCAGATTTTCTCTTCTCCCACAGTCCAAAAGGGTGAGGTCATTTTTCTGGGTATCATACCCTGAGTGTGGGCTGTGAGCAGTGATGGGGGAGGAGAAGGGAACGAACCTTCATGTTAATTCGTGTCATCTGCTTTCCTCTCGACTCTGATGCTGCCTTGCTCCAGGACCTCTTTGCTATCTGCGTCTTGATTTTTCACCTTATCCCATGGAGATGACGGCTTCCTTCTAATTTTTTCTTAGAATCAGGGAGTTCTTCGAAAGTCCTTTCCACATTATCTTGGGTGAGACTTTGCAGTCATGGTGTGTTCAGTAATTCCTCCAACTCTCCTGTGCGGTAGGAACAGGGCATTCACTTTGGAGCAATCCTTCTCCTTTCAAGTGGTGAGGTTTGATAAGGTCTTCCTCTGTGCCGAGGTAGCTGCGGAGAGTGCCTGGCTGGCCGTCCATAGTTGATTATCAGCTCAGCTCGTGTGGCACTTATGATTGGTAAAGACAGGGGAAGACCTGGGCTATCAGTGCCTCTTCCCCCACAAACCCCTGCCAACCCCTGACCCCCTAGTCAGAGGAGGAAGTAGGTCTGGTTTCCCGAGAGGAAACTCAGGGACAACAATCCCCTAGGCCTTCTAGTCGGAAACCATTTGGCATCTGACGTCGATTTCATCTTCCTTATTCTGTTTCTGACTTTGCCTTGCTGGGAGGTGCTGTGCTGGTTCATAGAGCTCAGGTACTTCTGTTCTGGCTTTAACTTGCTACATTGCACTTGCTGTTTACATGTGTGTCTCTCCAGTGGGGTTCAGTGTAATGACTGCTTACGTTCAGGTCACCATTTAATCTCTAGTGCCCAGCACAGTGCTGGACATGCAGTTAGTATTTAATCAATGTTTGATGAATGACAGTTGCCAAGAGAGATCAGGGGAACCTGGTGTTAAGGTTCCAAGCTGATTCATCGGTATGAACATCCTGCTCTATTTCCTGAAGTCAGATAGACCCAGGAGAGAGAAGGCTACAAGATGCCATGGATATAGGGTCCTGGATTTGGCCAATGTTAATCAAAAGCAGCTATGGGTGATGTACTCAAAGAAATTGCCGTGAACCGTCATCGAGGAGCAAAGGCAGAGCCCAGTGACAGGATTGTGGGTTAGGAAGTGAGGTGTGACCCATTGTCCAGGAGGGAACCATGAGATCACAGCCAATGGTGTGGAATCATAAATCAGTCCGGGGGTTAATATAGGGGTGGGAGCCAAGATACCTAGAAGGCAGTAGGAACAAAATCCAAGCTAGCTACGTTGAAGCGAATGGTTCAGGACAAAGACTATGAATGAGTTGAGTATCAGTGGTTCATTTGTACTGAATGCTGGCTGTGCAGCTGGGTTGAGACCTGCCAGCTCAAAGGCACATGGCCAGGCCAGGCCCCATCGACATCTAAACATTAGAACAAGACCAGGAACCAGCCATCCCAGGCCCTGGCACATAAGGCCTAAAATCTCCAACCAGATTGAGAGCTTGGGATCCTTTCCAGGGCAAAGTAGAGCCAGTTAATCAAGGTCCAGGTGAACTTCAGACCCAGCCCTAACAGAAGGTTCAGTCAGTGAAGATCCAGGTGGGTGGATGGTACAAGAGTCAATAAACAGCATTCATTTCTAAAGAACTGAGATTCGAGACTGGGAACCTGTTGTATAAAGAGTTCATCCACCCATCCAGCCATCCAGCCATCCAACCATTCATTCATTCTTTTATGCATTGGGCAAGTGGAGGGAGAATGCAGTATCCCTGTACCCAGGATACTCACCTGGGAACCTAGTTGCTAGCATTGAGGTCCTGAAGTCTGAGCAAGGCCAGGTGTAAATCTAATTCAATGCTGGGCCTTTAAAGCCATGGACTACCATGTCACTCTCAGAACAGTGGCAGGATAGGCCAGAAAGCCTAAGCCAAGACCAAGCTGGTAGGCAGTGTTTTTATGGAACACAGTTTCCACAGAATGGCTGAGGCAGAAGCAAGACGCCAGGCCCACACATACACACACACGCCACCCCTGCTTCAAATATCAGTCTAGTTGACCTTCCCAATATAGACAACTCTTGACTGCCAATGTATGGATTAGCCACCTAATGATCCCACCTAGCAAACCTCCCCCGACCATCACTCAATCTGTGCAAATTAAGTTCTGTGTTAGTCAAAGAAGAACATAATTAGGAAGGTAAATTTGCAGAATGCAAATTACGTAATGCATTCCAAAGTCAAATAGAAATTATTATGGATTAGCACAGATAGTGAGAGCATGGAATCTGCAGGATATGCTCCTTCATGCATTCAGTCACCCACTCAGCAAATGTTTATGCACGGAGAGGGTGGCCAGGGAGAAGGGGCTACCGCCCCTTGGAGTTTTAAGCTTGCTGCCCTCTCAGCTTTCTACCTTATTCTGAGCCACAGGTGGACAAAGGGAGGTTGTAAAAATAAGGCCTCATGAGAAAGAATCAGAGGAACAAGACACTACAATCTGTTGAGGAAACAAGTGGGCAGGACGTGCAGTGGAGTGAAAACCCCAGATCCAGCCAAATGTCAGGGAGTTTGAGCCCTTCTTGTCCCTGCTGGAGACCCATTCCTCTGTCCTCAACATGCCCCAGCCTATTAGGTTGGATGGAAGCACTTCCTCCTCCTCCAAACTCATCTTCCATGTTTCTGGCTGAGCAAGGGGACTCAGCACCCCTGTATTCCAGTCCTTGCCTCACTGCAAGGACTTGGGTTCTAAGTTCCTGAGCCTGCCTGGTAACCTGACTCTAGACCCCAGATACCCATGACTTGATGCATTGTTTGGTGCTCATGGCTCTGAACAGTCTATGCTCAACCCTGCTCAACCAGTCAGGATTACATTTGACTGCCTATAACCAAAACCATTACAGTGGCTAAACACCTAAGGATCTATCTTCTCTCTAAACAGACATTGTGGTATTGATTGAGTGGCCCGGTCATGTCAGAACCACTGTCTCAGATTTCACCATTTACTCATGATCACACAGTGGCTGCCACAGCTCCGGTCACCTTCCCAACTCAAGGCAGTAAGAGGGTGGCAGAGACAATGCCAGCTGTGAACTCATTTGTCAAAAAAGCAGAAGCTTTCTGCATAGATCTCATTGGCCAAAACTGGGTCACATGGCCAGATTGCTTAAATCCATCTCGATCCAACCTCTGAGGCTGGCACATTGCTACTCCAAGCAAAATTGCATTCTGTTAGCAAAGTCGAATGAGGGAATGAATATTGGGTAACTAACTAACAGAGTCTATACAATGGTCAAAGCAGCTAAAAGGCAGGCATCAGCTTCTTCTCCAAAGATATTAATTAATAAATCAGTGGTGCCACAGATGAAACAAAGAACTTTTTTTTAGGGACTATGTAGCATCTATCTCACCTTCTTTCACCTGTGGGTGGGGACTAGGCAGGAGGTGGCAAGTTGGCAAGGATAAACATACATGACAATATCTACCTTTTACTGCCTCCAAATGCTTTCAGTACGTTGTTTCATTTTATTCTGTTAACACCCCTGTGGAGTTGTCTTTATCATCTCCATTTTTCAGATGTAAAAACTGAAGCACAGGTTGCTTCATTGAATCCACATTCCACGCAGCCAAGGCTCAAAACCTCCATGATGTAGACATGGTGGGTTTATGAAAAAAGCTGGGAGCCCAGCAAGCCTTTCAAATTATGTTTAAGAACAAGCTTCTGGTATAACAGCATGTTCGAAACACTTCCAGGAACATCTGTGCTATTCCCTTGTACTGGGATATGGAGGCCCGAGCCCCTCTCAGCATCTGGGCCACTCCCATTTATCCTGCCAGCGAGCTCAAGCTGTTCCTCCAGGAAACTTCAGGAGCTGTACCTTTTGCCTGGACTGATTCATCTTTCCTGCAAGCTCCTTGGGCCTGGCTCCCCTTCTAAACCTGTTTTTGTTTTTTTTGGTTTTTTTTGGTTTTTTTTGAAACAGAGTCTCACTCTGTCGCCCAGGCTGGAATGCAGTGGCGCAATCTCGGCTCACTGCAAGCTCCGCCTCCCGGGTTCACTCCATTCTCCTGCCTCAGCCTCCCGAGTAGCTGGGACTACAGGCACCCGCCACCACGCACAGCTAATTTTTTGTATTTTTAGTAGAGATGGGGTTTCACCGTATTATGCAGGATGGTCTCGATCTCCTGACCTCGTGATCCGCCCACCTTGGCCTCCCAAGTGCTAGGATTACAGGTGTGAGCCACCGTGCCCGGCCTTTTGTGTGTGTGTGTGTGTGAGATGCAGTCTTACTCTGTTGCCCAGGCTGGAGTGCGGTGGCGCGATCTCTGCTCACTGCAACCTCCGTCTCTCAGGTTCAAGTGATTCTCCTGCCTCAGCCTCCAGAGTAGCTGGGATTACAGGTACCCACCAGCATGCCTGGCTAATTTTTGTATTTTTAGTAGAGACAGGGTTTGCCATGTTGGCCAGGCTGGTCTTGAACTCCTGACCTCAGGTGATCTACCTGCCTTGGCCTCCCAAAGTGCTGGGATTACAGGCCACCATGCCCAGCCTACCCCTCTAAATTTTATTAAGCTCCCTGAGGACAGGAACCATGTTACTCTTGTTCTCTGTTTAATCCGCACTGTCTAGAACGGTGCTTGGAGCTTAGTAGATGTTCAGTTACATGGTTTCAATAAGTATATTTTTGTAAATTACTTTAAAACATCAATGCCTCCAATGCCTACAGAAGTGTCCAAATTACTTAATGTGATGCACAAGCTCCTTGCTGTTATTTATTTTTTTAATTCTATTTTATTTTACATATTTATTTTTAGAGTCCGGCTTTTCCTTGGTCACCCAGGCTGGAGTGCAATGGCACCATCACAGCTCACTGCAACCTCCAACTTCTGGTCTCAAACGATCCTCTGGCCTCACCTCAGCCTCCTGAGTTGCTGGGATTACAGTCAAGAGCCACTGCACCCAGCCCCCTCACTGTTGCATGAATGGATGAATGAGTTGATTATGAACCGTTTTGGTAAGGCAAGATGATCATTGCATTTTGGGTAACAACATTTGACCTGTAGATAGTCTGCACTCCCAGAAATTATGACATGTCTGCAAATACTTGGCATTGTTATTTAAGACATCTATTGACAGGGTACTAAGAGTTATTGACCAAGCACCCACCTTGGGTCAGGCACCAAGCTGGATCCTTCATGTACTTTACCTCGTTTAATCCTCCAACAAGCCTATGATCAAGGAAGGCATTTTGCCTTCTGGTGGTCTGACGCAACAAAGTAAAGTGGAAGGATTGGGGGCCATGAAAGACTTAGACTAGAGAAGAGAGGGAGGGATAAGAAAAGAGTGTTCAAAGATGAAGGTGGGGGCTGGGCATGGTGGCTCATGCCTATAATCCCAGAGCTTTGGGAGGCCCAGGCAGAAGGATCCCTTGAGACCAGGAATTCAAGATCAGCCTGGGCAACATACTGAGACATCATCTCTACAATTTTTTTTTTTTTTTTTTTTTTTGAGACAGAGTCTCGCTCTGTTTCCCAGGCTGGAGTACAGTGGCATGATCTTGGCTCATTGCAACCTCCGCCTCCCGGGTTCAAGTGATTCTTGTGCCTCAGCCTCCTGAGTAGCTGGAACTATAGGCACCCACGACCACACCCGGCTAACTTTTGGATTTTTAGTAGAGACGGGGTTTCACCATGTTGGCCAGGCTGGTCTCCAAACTCCTGAACCGAGGTAATCTGCCCACCTCATCCACCCAAAGTGCTGGGATTATAGGCATGAGCCACCACGTCCGGCCTACAGTTTTTTTTTTTTTTAAATTTGCTGGGTGTGCTGGCACATGCCTGTAGTTCCAGCTACTCAGGAGGCTGAGATGGGAGAATTGCTTGAGCCCAGGAGGTCGAGGCTGCAGTGAGCTATGACTGGGCCACTGCACTCCAGCCTGGGTGACAAAATCAGGCCCTGTCTCTAAAAAAAAAAAAAAATTAAAGTGAGTGAGGGTGAATTATTAAAGCTGGAAGGCTGGCGATGTGGGGAGGTTGCTACTCGGAGGGAACAGGTGGGTGAAACAGAAACTCTGAGGGTGGAGATTTTCAGGAACACTTCAGTGAGAGCCACCGAGGCACAGCCCAGTTGGCTTTCGTTGAGTCAGGGGCTTTCGGTCACAGATGAGGCATCTGTTGTCCAATATTTGTTTTTATTTCCCTGCATGGTTAATTATTGTAGACGGTGGCTGATGAGGCAGCAGCCCTCCTGCCCAGAGAGCCAGGGTTATCTGCAGTTTTATAGCCCTGTCACATAGTAATGAAGCAGATAAACTCCTAGGTGGTGGCTGCTTGGACAGTAATTAAAAACTCTGCTGAAAAATATGACCAAGAAGTGGGGAATATCTATGGCAGAAAGAGACCAAAGAGATATAGGAACAGAACTGGTGATTGGAGCTGGTTCAGTGACCCTTGTGCTTCCAGAGCAAGCTGCCTGGGTGGTAGCTTGGCTTCTCTGCTCCTGGAAATGTCAACCTTGCAAAGGTAGAGGCTTCTGTGCAGGTGCTCAGCCCACATTTCCTCAAAACAACCCCAAGTGGCAGGTATTCGCCTATCCTGCCTCGGAGAAACAGCATCGAGAGGCCATTTGACTCCTTTGTAAGCCTAAATTGATGCAAGTCAGGTTCTGTGTTAAGTTATTTCCCATGTTTTAACTCAGGGGTCACCTGTAATTTAAATTTTGTGTCATTTTCATGTATCACAAAATATTATCCTTCTTTTGATTTTTTTCCCTACTTTTTATAAGTTTAAAGATCATTCTTAACCCGTAGGCTATATGAAACATGCAAGCAGGCAGAGCGTGGTGGCTCACGCCTGTAATGCCAATTCTTTGGGAGGCAGAGGTGAAAGGATTGCTTCCACGAGTTCAAGAATAGCCTGGCCAACATAGCAAGACCGTGTTCCTACAAACAATTTTGAAACTTAGGCCAGGTATGGTGGCTCATACCTGCAATTCCAGCACTTTGTCAGGCTGAAGTGAGAGGATGACTTGGGCTCAGGAGTTCAAGACCAGCCTAGCAACATAGTGAGACCCCCAACTGTACAAAAATTTCTAAAAATTAGCCAGGGGTAGTGGTACATGCCTATAGTCCCAGCTACTTGAGAGGCTGAGGTGGGAGGAGTGCTTGAATCCAGGAGGTCGAGGCTATGGTGAGCTGTGATCACACCACTGCACTCCAGCCTGGGCAACAGGGCATGACCTGTCTCAAAAATTTTTAAAAACAGGTAACAGATTTGCTGTCTTTTTGTAATACATGAAAATGACACAAAATTCAAATTTTCATATCCACAAATAAAGTTTTAAACAGCTTTATAGAGGTATAATTTATATACCATAAATTTCTCTTGAAAAGGTCCAATTCAATGATTTTTTAGTATATTTAAGGGAGTGCCAAAAGGCTCAGTATCAAGATAAGTAGCATTTTATTACAATATTTTTAAAAATAAAAATTAATGCCAAAAATTCATGGTGAACAAAGCATCAATGTCTTAGACAGAGACAGACTCAGTAAAAGTGCCGTGCCAAGGCATACTGGAGACAGAGGAAAAGGGAAAAATCCATAATACTGATCCTGTCTTTATTAAAAATTTTAATATTTTGTTCATCATGAATTTTCCCATTAATTTTGATTTTTTAAAATATGGCATTAAAATGTTTATCTTGATCGCTGAGTTTTTTGGCATCACCTTAAATTTTGCAGCCAAAGCGAGTCCTGGGCCTGTGCCTGAGACCCAGAGGCTGGAGGAAGTGGCATTTAAGGTGAAGGCAGTGAAAAGAGACAGGGGAGGGCACAGCAGATTCCTAGAGCCTTGGCTTCCTTGCCAATGACAAATTTTTAAGTTTTCTGTTGAGTTTTTTTAATTATAAAGATAATAAGTGGTCGTTTGAGAAAAATATAAACCATCAAATAGTAAAAGTAAAATTCACCCCAAATTCCATCACTCAGAGATAATTGCGGCAAACATATTTTGTATTTGCCCTTCTAGATTGTTCTCTATGCATACACACAGAAATTGATCAGTATTCAATTTATATAAATGAGAACACACTGAGCATGCTGTTCTGTAATGTTCCTTTTCATTTGACAGTATGTCATCAGCATCTTTCTATTTCAGTAAATGCAGACCCAAAGCATCATTTTTAATGGCTGCATAGTACTCTATCATAAGGATGACACATTTAGAAAATAAACTCCCTACCCATGAGCATCTGAGCTGTTTCTGATAAGAAGGGATTCTAAGAGTAATAACTTCCTTCAAATCACTCCCAAACAACTGATTTCATCTTCGCCTTCTCTTCCTGCATACACAGGACATCTTTTTAAATGGTTGATATCATAGTGAAATTCCATTTTATATTTTGCAATGCTTAATGTATGGTAAACATTTTTCTATGCTGTTCTATAATCTTTATCCAAGTTTTTCTTATTCTAGAGGTCAGCTAACGCTACTCTTTTTTTTTTTGTTCATGTTAATATTCTTTTAAAAAAAGCCTTTAAAGAAAAAACATTCTTAACTCGCTGGCCATACTTCGCATTTTTTTTTGTTCATGTTAATATTCTTTTAAAAAGGCTTTAAAGAAAAAACATTCTTAGCTGGCTGGCCATACAAAAACAGGCCTCTGGCAGAATTTGGCCCGTGAGTTTGCTAGCCTACGTATGAGTCATTTTGACACTCTTCTCTCTATGCTGCAGTGAAGGTCTCTGTATACAGCTCTTCCTTCTTTGGAATCATTTCCTTTGGACAACTTCCCAGGAATGAGATTACAGAATCAATGGACAGCATGGTTTTAAATGATCCCTAATATATATTGCTGTATTATAAAATTGTGCCACCCAGCAACTTGTGAACATCAGGTTTCTTTCAACCTCACCAGCATTTGGTAGTTAAAGAAAATTTTTTTTTAATGTATCAGTTTAAATTGTATGCTAATTTAGCAGGTATAAAATAATATCTTGTTTTCATTGCTATCTCTGTTCTCAAAGTAGGGGATGTTTTCATGTGTTCGAGTGCTCTTTATTGAGAATCAACTAAAAAGAAGTGATCTTGAACCCCCAGTTCAAAGATCAGACCCTCCTTTGGCTCTAACACGAGTCTGCATGTAACCCCACTGTTGCATTCAAATGACAGAGAGAAGCCCAGTGCAGCCTTATCGCTCTGTGGCAGAAAAAAAAAAACAAAACAAAACTGGAAAGTAGGTCGAGGAATTAATCCTGCTGGTTCCAGTAATTAGAGTAGACAATGGGGTCGAAAGTTCAGGCTGAGCCTGGAATGCTGCCTGAGTGTCTCTTGCAAGATCTGGACATGTTGCCCCCTGCTCTCTTCCCTATCATCGGCAGTTCCTAAGTGCATTTTCTTTTTCCCCTCTTCTAGCTTAGGGGGACATTTCTGGCTTTTCCTCCCATGTGAAGTCAGATGGACCAGAGGTGGAAATGATCCCACTGAGAAACCTCTTTGCTTCTAAAGGGACCTCTCAAGGGTCTCCTCCTGCTTGTCTTCGGCAACAGGTAAGCAGTGTCAGTTCCTCTCCTTAGACAAGTCCAACACAACACGAGATGCTGCCTTTACTTCCAACGCGGGTTTGCACATCACTCTTTATTTAGCACATTTGATGCATGGAAATGGTAGCGTCTAATAAGGCTCATAGTGTGGGACTCTGGTAGAAGTGTAAGATTTCAAATGTAAGATAAGGGTTAAACTTAATGATAGGGCCTTTCTAACCCTTTCCTGAAAATCCTCTAACCAGGCTTTTTACATAAAGCACAGATGACAAACTCAACTGGCTAAAGAACTAGACCATTAGACTCCAACTAAGTGGAGGAAGCCACTGGGAGGACAATAGGGAGTGGTGGGGACTATGGTGAACAGAAAAGTGCATTCTTGTCTTCAAAGCATTTACACTCAACGTTTTTTAAAGACATGGTTTCAGCCCAACAAAACATGTTTGCAAGGCTGAATTGGGTCCCCAAAGACCCCAGCTTGTGAATTCTGGAAGAGCCATCAGCCTCTTCCATCTTTTTCACAGCCTCTAACTCCTTGTTTCGATCTCTCTACTTTCCCACCCTTTCTCAGCATCTCTTTGCTAGGTTCGTCTTCACTCCACTGTAAAAAGAGCCAAATCTTCTGCTCTTTTTACAATGAGGGTTGGGTTTGGCAGGCATCACTTCTCCAAATAATCTTATTATGATCTCCACCAAATGACAGCCACGGGCAAAATGGGGGACAGGTGGGCTCGTCTGAACATCTCGAGTTGTAAGGAACAGAGATCCAATCAGGCTCACCTGAGTAAGACAGGATTTGTTTAAAAGACACAACTTTCTCAGAAACAAGGGTGAGAAATAAATAACTGAAAGGTCTCCTGAGAAACTGAGTGACTGGGGCATGAGAAGAGGGAGGCATTGCAGGGCTGTGACAGAGTTCTCAGGGGTAGAACTTGAGGGCAGGGAGGTATACTAAAATGAGCCTGTTTCACAGGATTTGGGAGCAAGCATATCATTCATTTAATATACATGAGATTTTGACTGTTTTAGACCGAGTATCCCAGGAGTGCCCACCAGGAATACAACCTACCCCTGAAACTCACAGAGACACATTCACCCACCTGTTTTCCCAACCTGCATGTGGAATTCAACTTTCCACCAAGGCATCAGAGATGAGTTGATGATACCTCATTAATTAAATTTAACAAGCTGTGTGGCCACCAATTAAGAAATATGGAAGGATTTCTGCTTCCCTAGTGCTGAACTGGAATACCATAAAATGAGCCTGGGGAGAGAAATGAAACCACCCCCTTGTCTGATGCCTGGCCTTGTGTTTCCAGGCTGGGTTCTGGCTTGACCCAGTTCCTGGGGTCAGGGCTGGGATGGGCAACACCAAATAGTGAAGAGTGGAATGAGCCAGAGATGAGAGCAAGCTGAGCCCTTAGAGAGACAAATGATCAGGGACAGTGAAGCTGAGTTGGAACAGCAAGTCCAAGGAGAAGAGAGTAGCACTAGAAACAGAAGTCCAAGCTAAAAGACCTGAAAACAGGAAGAACGGGAACAGAGGAAAGTCATCCTGACATTGGTTTCTTAAAAATGCCAAGCATGGGCCGGGCGTGGTGGCTCATGCCTGTAATCCCAGCACTTTGGGAGGCCAAGATGGGTGGATCACCTGAAGTCAAGTTCGAGACCAACCTGGCCAACTTGAGGAAACCATGCCTCTACCAAAAAACACAAATATTCGTCAGGCATGGCGGTGCATGTCTGCAACCCTAGCTACTCGGGAGGCTGAGGTGGGAGAATTGCTGGAACCCAGGAGGCGGATGTTGCAGTGAGCCAAGATCGCACCACTGCACTCCAGCCTGGGTGACAGAGCGAGACTCCGTCTCAAAAAAAAAAAAAAAAAAAAAATCCCAAGCATGGCCGGGTACAATGGCTCATTCCTGTAAACCCAGCACTTTGGAAGGCCAAGGTGGGAGGAGCGCTTGAACCCAGGAGTTTGAGACTAGCCTTGGCAACATAGCAAGACCTTGTCTTTACTAAAAATAAAAAATAAGCCAGATGTGGTGGCATGTGACTATAGTCCCAGCTACTCAGGAGACTGAGGAGGGAGGATCATTCGGGCCCAGGAGGTCAAAGCTGCAGTGAGCCATGATCACGCCATTGCATTCCAGCCTGGGTGACAAAGTAATACCCTGTCTTAAAAAAATAAAATGCCAAGCACCTTCCTGGCTCAGGTCTTTGAGTATGTGATTCCCTGACCTAGAATACTCTTCACCTGTTTATCTGCATGGCTGATCACTTTGCATGCTTGAGACCTCAGCTTTATTGTCATGTTCTCAGTAAGGCCTTCAATAGTGGATACCATTAATTTTGCATGCTTAACATTCATACTAGTTTTGGAGGTAACAGGATCATTTTCAGTGTATTGGTCAGTTTTGATGCAGTAACAAACAACCCCAAGGTTAGTGGCTTCCAAGAACAAACATTTATTTCATGTTTGTTACATTTCAGCTGCTACAGCTCCATGCATCTCTCATTCTGGGACACAGTCTAAAGGAACAGCCCCTATTTGGGACAAGCTGTCCATATGGCAGATGGAAAACAGCAGGTGACAGAACTGAATCACACAATCTCTCTTAAAGCTTCTGGTCAGACTTGGCATTTGTCATATCTGCTCACAGTTCATTGATCAAAACAAGTTGTGGCCAGGCACAGTGGCTCATGTCTGTGATCTCAGCACTTTGGGAGGCCAACGTGGGCAGGTCAGGAGTTTGAGACCAGCTTGGCTAATATGGTGAAACCCCATCTCTACCAAAAAATATTAAAATTCACCAGGTGTGGTGGCGTGTGCTTGTAGTCCTAGCTACTCAGGAGGCTGAAGTGGGAGAATCGCTTGAACCTGGGGGGCGGAGGTTGCAGTGAGCTGAGATCACAACACTACACTCCAGCCTGGGTGACAGAGTGAGACCTTGTCTCAAAAAGCAAACAAACAAACAAACAAAAAACAAGTTGTGTCCAAGTCTGTCGGGGGTGGGAAAGGATATACCACTGCTGGGAGGCACTGAAATTTACATGACAATGGACAGGGATGTATAATCCCATTACAGGAAGGGGAGCAAACAGTTGGGAACAATAATACAATCTACCACAATTACCAAAAAATACGTTTGGCTGCAAGTAACAGAAGACCACCTGATAAACAATGACTTAAAAAAATAAGGATTTATTTTTCTCACAAAACAAGAGATCTAGCTTAGGTAATTCCAGAGTTGGTTCAACCCAGCAATACCAAAGTCTGTATCTCTGTGAGTCGCTTGCATTTTCTATCGTGGTTGCAAGAAAGCAGATGACTGTCATTCCAAGGTTTATGGCCATGTTCAAAACAAGAAGAAGTGGGGAAATGGTGGTACTGGCAACACCTGTCCCTTTTATTCAAAAGCAAAAGTTTTTCCGGAACACCTTCTTCCATCCACAGCAGCTTGTCTCATTGGCCAGACCTGTGTAATACACCCATCCCTTGCTGCAAGGGAGGCTAGGAAGGCAAAGATTTTGCTTTTTCTAGTCTTGACAATGGAAATTGGCAGAGGGAATGAGGTAGAAATGCGTGTTGGTTTGGCCAGCCAGTGGGGTCCACCATGGAACCCCTGTTTTCTTCCTGCATTCTACATGGCCTTGGAGCAACTGCCAATCAAGGTTTCCTGCCCTTCCCTTCCCTCCATGCCAAATGAATAAGCCCTTGACCCAAATGAACCAAAGACAGACAATGGCTGACATTGATATATCATGTACGTGAGACACTTAAGAGACACTCCATTCATTCTTGCTCCCTACATCCCTAGAATTTGTGTGGTTCTGGTCATTCCTTCACAAGGTCCAGTTTTTCCATTGCTTCTGCAAGTCTCCCACATCTTTCCAATAAATTTCCAGCATCATTTTCTGTTGCTTACAATCACAGAACCCTGGTTGATACATCTTTTGCTATGGTTTGGATGTTTGTCCCCTGAAACTTCATGTTGAAATTTGATCCTGCCAGGTGCAGTTGCTCACTCCTGTAATCCCAGCACTTTGGGAGGCTGAGGCGGGTGGATCACGAGGTCAGGAGATCGAGACCATCCTGGCTAACGTAGTGAAACCCCATCTCTACTAAAAATACAAAAAAATGAGCCAGGCATGGTGACCGGTGCCTGTCATCCAAGCTACTCGGGAGGCTGAGGCAGGAGAATGGCATGAACCTGGGAGGTGGAGCTGGCAGTGAGCTGAGATTGTGCCACTGCACTCCAGCCTGGGCAACAAAGCAAGACTCCGTCTCAAAAAAAAAAAAAAAAAAAAAGCCCGGGTGCGGTGGCTTATGCCTGTAATCCCAGCACTTTGGGAGGCCGAGGCGGGCAGATTACCTGAGGTCGGGAGTTCGAGACCAGTCTGACCAACATGGAGAAACCCCGTCTCTACTAAAAATACAAAATTAGTTGGGCATGGTGGCACATGCCTGTAATCCCAGCTACTAGGGAGGCTGAGGCAGGAGAATCACTTGAACCTGGGAGGCTGAGGTTGCCGTGAGCTGAGATCACGCCATTGCACTCCAACCCCGGGCAACAAGAGCGAAACTCCGTCTCAAAAAAAAAAAAAAAGAAAGAAAGAAAAAAAGAAATTTGATCCCAATGTTGGAGATGGGGCCTAATGGCACAGATTAATGTACAGATTAATGCCCTCCCTTGTGGAGAGTCCTCACTCTATTGGTTCCCTTGAGAATCTGGTACATCTCTCCTCTCTCGTTCGCCCTCTCCTGCCATACAATCTCTGCACACACCATTTCCTATTTATCTCCCGTTGGGTGGAAGCAGCATGAGGCCCTCACTAGAAGCCGATGTTGGCACCATGCTTTTTGTACGGCCTGTGGCAGTGTGCACCAAAAAAACTTATTTACAAATCACCTAGCCTTAGGTATTCCTGTATAGCAACATAAAATGGACTAAGACATCTTTCCTGACCACTGTGTTCAAATAGGGACTCCCATGCCATTCTCTACCTCAATACTTTTTTTCTGGAGACAGAGTTTTGCTCCGTTGCACAGGCTGGAGTGCAGTGGTACAATCTTGGCTCACTGCAATCTCTGCCTCCCAGGTTCAAAATGATTCTTGTGCCTCAGCCTCCTCAGTAGCTGGGATTACCGACTTGTGCCACTACGCTTGGCTAATTTTTCATACTTTTAGTAGAGACGGGGTTTCCCCATGTTGTTCAGGCTGGTCTCAAACTTCTGACCTCAAATGATCCCCCCCATCAGCCTCCCAAAGTGCTGGGATTATAGGCATGAGCCACTGCACCCAGCCTCTACCTCAATACTTTATTTTTTTAAGCCCATGAAATGTTATCATTGCTTCATTTATTTATATAGTGTCTTTTTCTGATACCAGACCATAAGTTCCATGCAAACAGGGAATGCAACAGTCTTGATGACTACTACATGCCCTGGATCTAATATACGCCTGAATATATTTGAGTATTATTGAATATTTATTAACTGAATGGTCGGCTTAGGCATTTAGAGGTCAGAACTGGAATTTGAATGTTATTTATAATATCAGTTGTTTAAAGCATGCTTTATAGGTAACTTATGGTGGTCTAAAAGTGCAAGTTGGGAATGACGTTAAGAGCAGCTGGAAATGTCAGGGATATCGAGATGGGGGACTAAAGCACCCAGGAGAGTAGATTACTGAATTTCCAGATCCTAGAACAGTGGCTCTCAAATGCTTTTGATCTTTGGCTCACTTAGGCAAGGCCAAAGACCCTTCCTCCCATCTGCAGCCACCAGTTCCTGCTTTGTGACTTGTGCAGTAGGAGTTTTGCAGCATTGAAAAGCATCATGCAGGAGCCAGGCTTCCAGAAGATCCCTGCGGCTGAGTTCTCGGTAATTCCCAGTAACACTCTAATTTTAGTTATGACTAGTCAATTGTAGTAACTCACTTAGTAGGTTCCTAGAAAGTGGCACTTAGTCATGCATCAAGCTGGAAATCAACGGATATATGTGTAACTTGTTCATAAGAACCAGAGGAAGAATGTGACCTTTTAGGATCAGTTGATGGCCTGTAGAAAGGAGCTTAGACCCACTCAGTGGGCTGCAGGCCACATACCAAGAACTGCACCACTGGAACCCAAGGGCTGTAGAGGTGTTGGGGGTTGGGCCCCAGAGTCATACAGCAAGAGTCTGCATACCCAAAGTGCAGATGGAATGGTCCATAGAATGAATAAACAATACCTCCCACATATAGACACATGAATAGTTTTTCAGCACTAGTGCAATTTTTAAAAATTCTTTAAAAGTACATACTAATTCACAGTGGCTTTTTGTTGTTATGCCTTTTCTCATGAGAAAACACTCAAGTGCAGGTTGGTGATATTTTTGAAGGTTTTGAAAAGGGTATCCTGGCCGGGCACAGTGGCTCACACCTGTAATCCCAGCATTTGGGAGGCTGAGGCAGGCGGATCGTTTGAGGCCAGGAGTTCGAGAGCAGCCTGGACAACATAGCGAGACCTTGTTTCTACAAAAAATTTAAAAATTAGCTGGATGTGCTAGTGTGGTGCGCCTGTAGTCTCAGCTACTCAGAAGCCCAGGTGGGAGGATCACTTGAGCCCAGCAGTTGGAGGCTACAGTGAGCCATGATCACGCCACTGCCAGTCTGGGCAACAGAGAAAGACCCTGTCTCTAAATAAATAAATACAGAAATAAATAATAAAAAGGGCATCCTGGTACTAAGCATTGGGATAAAGTTGGGAACCACTGGTTTTGTGCCTCCCTCAGCTACAGAAGCCAGGGAAGGAGGAGTTCAGTCCTCCACACCCCATTTGGAGTGGCACTCAGACCTCCTCCCTGGCCCTTTGGTTCTGGAGGATTATACCCACTTCCTCATTACCAAGGCAAACATGCAGAGTTGGATTTGCATGAGTTAAACACATGTCTGGTACAACCCCATGTTAATAAGTATTTAGTGTTATATTTTAAAGTCGCATTACAGGCCCGGCTCAGTGGCTCATGCCTGTAACCCCAGCACTCTGGGAAGCCGAGGCAGGCAGATCACTTGAAGTCAGGAATTCAAGACCAGCCTGGCCAACATGGTGAAACCTCATCTCTACTAAAAATACAAAAATTAGCTGGGCATGGTGGCGCACGCCTGTAATCCCAGCTACTCGGGAGGCTGAGGCAGGAGAATTGCTTGAACCTGGGTGGCAGAGGTTGCAGTGAGCTGAAATCACGCCACTGCACTCCAACCCAGATGACAGAGCGAGACTCGGAAAAAAAAAAAAAGAAAGGAAAAAAGTTGCATTACAAAAAAAAAAAAAAAGTCACCAGGAGTCCCTCCCTGTCCACCTCTCTGCTGCTCGGCCTTCTTTGGGCTGGCTTTGTTTGCAGGCAGGGCCTCCCACAGATGGCTGCTAGCAGCTCTAGGCTCACATTCTACCAGTTTAGTAACCCTATCGAGAAAAGAAAGCCTCTCTCCCCATGGTTTCCGCCAAAAAATAGCTGCCATTCATTGAGTGCTTCTTCAGAGCCAAGCCCACCTCCTGGGCACGTTTCTCAATCCTCTCAATTATTCCTCACAATGGCTCTCAGATGTTGTCGCTATTATTATCCCACTTTAAAGTGAGGAGACTGAGGTTACATAAACTTACCCAAGGTCACAGGGCTACTAAATGACAGAGCTAGAGCTGATGCTCTTAATTGTCACACTATACTGCCCACCGTGACCACGGACTTTCCTGCAGTTATTCCCCAAATCTCTGGGATGGGGCAGGGCTCATATTTAACAGAAGACAATGAGTGGCAGCTCTGTTCCAGCTCCTTTGTGGGTGTTATCTCACTTTTATCCCCATTTCACAGCTAAGGAAACTGAGGCTCAGAGAGGTTAATTAACTTTCCCAAGCTCACACAGACAAAAGGTAGAGAATTAGGGCTGGGCACGGTGGCTCACGGCTATAATCCCAGCACTCTGGGAGGCAGAGGCAGGCGGATCACTTGAGGCTAGGAGTTGGAGACCAGCCTGGCCAATGTGGTGACAACCCGTCTCTACTAAAAATGCAAAAATAAGCTGGGCATGGTTGTGGGCACCTGTAATCCCAGCTACTTGGGAGGCTGAGGCACAAGAATTGCTTGAACCCAGGAGGCAGAGGTTGCAGTGAGCCAAGATCTCGCCACTGCACTCCAGCCTGGGCAACACAGTGAGACTCTGTGTCAAAACAAAACAAAACAAAACAAAAAACAGAAAAGCGGACATCCAGGGAAGGGAAAGAAGCCAAGGAGGAGTGTGAGCATAGAAGCAGAAAAGGACACTAGTGTCACATCATGGGGAGCCTCAAGAGCTGAGGATACCACACTTCTTAATTCAGGTGGTTCAGGTAGGCAGTGTCAATCCATATGGAGTGAACCTGTTTCCCATTTCTTCGGGAACCTGCCTTCCCCTTGCTAGAATTACATTTTAGAATTGCAATTAGAATTCCCCCAGCTAGAATTAACATTCTAGGCAGGCTCCCAAAGGAATGGGGATGCTGCTACCAGAAGGGGGAGGCACCCTGGACGGAGAAAGAAGAGAGAGGTCGGCTATCATCAAATCCTTCCGCTCATTCATTCAACAACAAATACGTATTGAACATCAACAGTGGGCCAAGCCTGTGCTTGACATAGAGTCACGAACTCTTAGACTACGGAATCTGCCCTTCAATTTCCCCCTTTCCACTACTGGATTCAGCTACCCCCTGCTTGCCTTCGATTGTTTCAGTTCTTCAAGTTTAAATTTCTGAAAGAGGCCGGATGTGGTGGCTCATGCCTGTAATCCCAGCACTTTGAGAGGCTGAGGCTAAGGCAGGCAGATCACTTGAGGCCAGGAGTTCAAGACCAGCCTGGGTAACATGTTGAAACTCCGTCTCTACAAAAAAAAATACAAAAATTAGCCAGGCGTGGTGGTGCATGCCTGTGGTTCCAGCTACTCGAGAGGCTAAGGTGGGAAGGTCAATTGGGCCCAGGAGGTTGAGGCTTCCGTGAGCCATGACCGTGCCACTGCACTCCAGCCTGGGTGAGACAGCGAGACTCTGTCTCAAAAGTAAATGAATTAATAAATAAATTTCTCAGAGAGGTCTGATTCTCTTGTGTTTTGAGTCTGACTACACGGTAGGTCATGAGCCCAGTCCAATTAGACAGAAAACAGCTGACCGTGGCTCCTCTAAGCAGAGCACCGCAGGCAGGGGAGTTCCCATACAAAGGGAAGTTGGGTGTGACGGACTCCATGTCAACATAACCACCTACAGTCAGAGGGGTCATTGCAGCAGATCAGCCACGTCATCATCCTTTACTGAAGCCATCACATCACTCCCACTAGCAACAGATTCATACCCAGAGTTATCTTTTTTTTGTTTGTTTGAGACGGAGTCTCCCTCTGTTGCCCAGGCTGGAGTATAGTGGTGTGATCTCGGCTCACTGCAAGCACCACCTCCCGGGTCCACGCCATTCTCCTACCTCAGCCTCCCGAGTAGCTGGGACTACAGGTGCCTGCCTCCACGCCTGGCTAATTTTTTTTGTATTTTTAGTAGAGACAGGGTTTCAGTATGTTAGCCAGGATGGTCTCAATCTCCTGACCTTGAGATCCGCCCACCTTGACCTCCCAAAGTGCTGGGATTACAGGCGTGAGCCACCGCGCCTGGCCCATACCCAGAGTTATCTTGATGGTGCTGACTATAATCCTATACTCAGGACATTGGTTCAGTCACAAAGGTTGGGGAAAAATGATTATAAATTCTCCTAATGCAGACAGTGATGATGGTTGGGATGCAAATTATCACTGAGCAATTTTTTTTTTTACCACTGCATTTGCATTAAACCATTTGAATACTACTGAATGATTTATATGTTGAAAGGGACTCTATTCCCCATTGCAGGAGATGAGAGGCACAATTAGCTCATGATTAGTCATCTCTGAAGAAGAGGCATAACGGGTCCGAGTGGGAAAGTAGAAATTCATAGTTTCACCAGGCACGGTGGTGCATGCCTGGAGTCCCAGCTACTCGGGAGGCTGAGAAGAGAGGATCTCCTGAGATGGGAGTTCAAAGCCAACTTGGGCAATATAGCGAGACCCTGTCTCAAGAAAGAGAATGGAAGGAAGAAAGGAAGGAAGAAAGGGAGGGAAGGAGGCAAGTTATCTTAGGATTGCACATTGGGTCTGCCTTTCTAAAGAACAATTTGGCAATAGCTATTAAATACTAAATATACAAAATCTTTTTGATCCAGTAATTCTAGGAATTTGTGGTAAGAACATAATCAGAGTTGTATTGGAAAATATTTCTCCAAGGTGGTTCACTGCAGCATTAATATAATACTAAGCCAGGCGTGGTGGCTCACGCCTGTAATCCCAGCACTTTGGGAGGCCAAGAAGGGTGGATCACGAGATCAGGAGTTCGAGACCAGCCTGACCAAAATGGTGAAACCCCGTCTCTACTAAAAATACAAAAATTAGCCGGGCATGGTGGCGTGCGCCTGTAATCCCAGCTACTCAGGAGACTGAGGCAGGAGAGTCACTTGAACCCAGGAGGCAGAGGTTACAGTGAGCCGAGATCACATCACTGTACTCCAGCCTGAGCAACAGAGCGAGACTCCATCTAAAAAAAAATACATATATATGTGTATATATATATTGTATATGTGTGTGTGTATATATATAGTATATATGTGTATATATGTATGTATATATATTACTAAAAAAATTTGGCCAGGCTCAGTGGCTCACACCTGAGCCCATCACTTTGGGAGGCTGAAACAGGTGGATCACTTGAGGTCAAGAGTTGGAAACCAGCCTGGCCAACATGGTGAAACCCTGTCTCTACTAAAAATACAAATTTAGCTGGGTGTGGTGGTGCACGACTGTAGTTCCAGCTACTCGGGAGGCTGAGGCACGAGACTTGCTTGAACCCAGGAGGCAGAGGTTGCAGTGAGCTGAGATAGCACCACTGCCCTCCAGCCTGGGGCAACAGAGTGAGACTCCATCTCAAAAATAAATAAATAAATAAATTTTTTTTAAAAAAATTAGGAGCAACCTAAATGTCCAATAATTGAAGATTAGCTAAGTAAATTATGGTGCATCCATGTGATAGACTCAGTGCAGTCCAAAAGAAATTATGTGAAAGAGTATTAAATGACATAAGAAAATGTGGTATTTTAAAAAGCAAGCTGGCCAGGCGCAGTGGCTCACACCTGTAATCCCAAAACTTTGGGAGACCGAGGCAGGTGGATCACGAGGTCAGGAGTTCAAGACCAGCCTGGCCAAGATGGCGAAACCCCTTCTCTACTAAAACTACAAAAAATTAGCCGGGCGTGGTGGCAGGTGCCTGTAATCCCAGCTACTTGGGAGGCTGAGGCAGAGAATTGCTTGAACCCGGGAGGCAGAAGTTGCAGTGAGCCGAGATCGCGCCACTGCACTCCAGCCTGGGTGACACAGCAAGACTACAACTCAAAAAAAAAAAAAAAAAAAGAGCAAGCTGTAGAAATTATGAACAATACACCATTTCTGTAAGGTTAGTTTTGAAAATCTTTGGGCAACAGGGTAGAGTGGAGGAATAATATAGTGATTAAGGCCAAGGCTTTGTGCTCAGACAGATAAAAGTTGAATTCTTAGCTCTGGTACTTAACAGCTTGAATACTGTGAGCCTCAGCTTATCCATCTGTGAAATGGGACTAGGACAGCGACTATCTAACACCTAGGGCATGACACTTATTAAACAGATGTTCCTAACTAGAATGTTGGGCAATGAACAGTATGTATGTGTGTGTGTGTGTGTGTGTGTGTGTGTGTGTGTGTGTATGTTAGCTCACTGTGGGTGCTTTCTTGATACATTCAATTCTTTCTCAATTAGGCAGGTATTGCTATTGTAATTAGGAACAAAGTCATTAACATAAAAAATAAAAGGCATAATAGTTTAGAGAGGAACCCCAGGAATATTATTCAACATCAGAAATGTCATCAGGACAGAAGGAATGTCAACTGTGTGCTAATTTGCCACGCAAATTTTGCTCTCGGAGTCGTCTGTTTCAAATCATGTTGTGGCATTTCTGTTCCTCTTTTTCTTAAGGACTTGTTCCAAGAATTAAAACAATTTTTTTTCTTTAATAAAAGAAAAAAGGAAAACCCCCAAACTTCAAGCCATGTGGGTGAGTGCAATTTGCAGAAAATATTTCCAAAATGTTGTAGCCAATATAGGCCATGTTTTAAACCTCAGATATCTAAGCAAATATCTAAGTTTTGCTTATAAACCATATGAAGTCCCTCAGTTTGGTAACACCTTGCTTGTTGGAAATTATTTAGAGGGAAGGTTCCAGGGACATTCATTGGTTTTGCCGGCCCAGTCTCCAATCCCCCTCACCTCCCAATCCCATCATCTGGCATCTGAACCTGGATATTTATCTGGGAAACTACCTCCTTCCATCTAGAAGCGTGATTCAATGGGGCCCACCCATGTCTTGGTTTGACTCAGTTCTGACCAATAAGACTATTACATTGTTCTGGCCACCAGGATTGGCTCGAGGGTGGGCATGTAACCCAAGCTAAGGCAATCAGAGTCAAGGAATCTTAGCCCTGGGATTCTTGCTAGAGTTATTGACAAGTAGATGCTCTCTTTCCACTGGGGCGCTAGGTGATGGTGTACGAGGCTGAAACTGCTAGAAACAGTTTTAACACCATTTAGAGAAAGCCTGCTTAAGAATGGAACAAACACAAAGGAAGAAAAGCCAAGAAATGGACACAGTCAGATTCCTGCTGATAGCCTTTAAGCACAGAGTTTCAGCCATGCCTAATGCTCGAAAACACTCCTCTCTGTGTAAGCCAATTTGAATTGGTTTTCTGTTGCTTACAACTGAAAACGTCCTGACTACTACAGAAGATCAGTCTGAAGTGGCAAAAACATTAATTCCATTATATGTTCCAAGAGCCAACAGTGTGTACAGTATTTCAGGTGCTAATGACTCATTCAGTGTCTCTTAAGTGGAGCTCCTCCAGAACTGGCTTCAGAGGACACCTAAGAGCCCTTTGTAATTAGCTCATTAAAGGAGCTCTGGCAAAGTGGTTGTCAACTTGCTTGAAAACAGTCATCTTGGCTGGGCGCGGTGGCTCACGCATTTAATCCCAGCACTTTGGGAGGTCGAGGCGGGTGGATCACCTGAGGCCAGGAGTTCAAGACCAGCCTGGCCAACATGGTGAAACCCCATCTCTACCATAAATACAAAAACAAATTAGCTGGGCGTGGTGGCGCATGCCTGTAGTCCCAGCTAATCAGGAGCCTGAGGCAGGAGAATTGCTTGAACCCTGGGGGTGGAGGTTGCAGCGATCCGGGATCAGGCCACTGCACTCCAGCCTGGGTGACAGAGGGAGACTCTGTCTCAAAAACAAAAAAACAAAAAAACAAAACACAGTCATCTTGAGTAGGCTAAGCCTTTCCCTTGCTACCTCAAATACATGATATGGCTTTGCAAAACGTTTTTCAGCGTTAGCACAAATATAGGCCTACATTCAACCTCTGGCCCAATTAATACAATTCTCACTAAAACGTTTAACCCTTTATTTGTAATCCTTTTACCCGAGCAGAAACAGTAACAGAAACAAAACATTGCAAAGAGGTTGTATTTTAGAGAGAGTGAGAGAGACCAGCCACTGTTATGCTTCATAATGGGTTCTACGGATAATGGTGAAGCTATTTATATTTCATTTTATTATCCTGTTTCCACCCCTTTTGCTGTGTTTAAGAAGCTATAGATTGCCTCTAAATGCTGAGTTCCTGGGCAGTTGTTCTTTTTCTTTTGTCAAAATGTTTTAAAGGATAGTCAACAATCGAAGAAGTCAATTCAAGTTGAAGCGAGCCTTTATTGAATTCCCAGTGATCACAGGTCAGGGCCAGACCTAGAGAAGATGAAAAGATGAGGAACCCTAATTCAAGTTTCCTGGAGATCACTGTCTGGTTAAGGAGATAGGAATGTGGTGTAGTGTGGTAGGCCTAGTCTATCTGCATTCAAATCATGGTTCTGTCACTCTAACCAGGTCCTTGGGCAAGTTCCTGAATCTCTCTGTGCATCCGTTGCTTCATCTGTGAAATGGGAAGGATAATGATAGTACCTACCTAATAGTCATGTTCTGATGACTAAATGAGTTAGTACACAGGAACTTCACAGAAGAATGTCTAGCACTCAAAAAAATGTCAAAGTTGTCTTTCTTTCTTATTTTAATCTGTGTCTGGTTTTGATGTTTCCCCAATACTTCTCAGGTATACCTTGGGATCCAAAATCAGCATGGTGATTTTTGGCGATGGTCACTGTGATGGTTAATATTAATTCTCAACTTGATCGGATTGAAGGATGCAAAGCATTATTCCTCAGTGTGTCTGTTAACATCTGACTGGGAGAGGCGGACCCAACCTCAAACTGGGTGGGCACCATCTAATCAGCTGCCAGCACGGCTAGGATAAAAGCAGCCAAAAGAACATGGAAAGACTAGACTGGCTGAGTCTTCCAGCCTCATCTTTCTCCTGTGCTGGATGCTTCCTGCCCTGGAACATCGGACTCCAAGTTCTTCAGCTTTTGGACTCTTGGACTTACACCAGTGGTTTGCCAGGGGCTCTGGGACCTTTGACCATAGACTGAAGGCTGCCCTACTGGCTTCCCCACTTTTGAGGTTTTGGGACTCAGACTGGCTTCCTGGCTCCTCAGCTTGCAGACGGCCTCTTGTGGGACCTCACCTTGTGATCGTGTGAGTCAATACTCCTTAATAAGCTCCCCTTTATATATACATCTATCCTATTAGTCTTGTCCCACTAGAGAACCCTAATACAGTTACATATATCCCAAAATTCCCTCACAAATCCCATAGGAAGCAGCCACACTGGCCATCCATAGATCATTTCTAAATACAGTAAGTCCTGCCCAGCCAGCTGATCCCACGTTATTATTTGGTTGCGAACCAGATGAAGCTATTTCCTTGTATTTAGAGGTCAAATTGTAGGAGAAATGTTAATCTTTCAATATTGTAAAAACATGCATAAACACTGGACTCCTACTTAGGGCAGCAAAGGGCCACATGGGAAAAGAAGCTGGTGATTCCTGAGACTGGTGAAGGATCAGCCATCTGCAGCTGCCACCCTAACCTCACCCTGGACATGCTCCCATTCCACAGCCTGCAGAAGCAAACTGCCTGTACTTATATTATGCTTGCTTTCTCTTCACAAGCATACGTGACTGAGTCCGTGTACATTAAAGGCTTATGACAATTTTCTGTGTTTAATTTTTTTTCTTTTTTCTTTTTTTTTTTTTTGGAGACAGAGTCTTACTCTGTCCCCCAGGCTGGAGTGCAGTGGTGCCATCTTGGCTTACTGCAACCTCTGCCTTCCGGGTTCAAGCAATTCTTGTGCCTCAGCCTGGGATTACAGGCATGCACCACGCCTGGCTAATTTTTTGTATTTTAGTAGAGACAGTGTTCCACCAGCTTGCCCAGGCTGGTCTCAAACTCCTGAGCTCAGGCAATCCACCCACCTCGGCCTCCCAAAGTGCTAGGATTACAGTCATGAGCCACCGAACCCGGCCCAATTCCCTATATTTAATTCTGCTTCATATTAAGACAGTTTGGAAATGGTAGACATCGGGCCACATTTGGCATCTGGGGTTCCCAACCCACTTTTACCTGGTAAAAATGTTAAAAAGTATGAGAGCTGGAGTTCCAAGCATGAGACTTGAGTCCAAAGCCTGGAACCACAGTTTACCAGGGGGTGACCCAGGGCTGGTCACTTCATCTCCTTCAGCGTTAGTCTCTTCCTATGAAAAAGAGGATCTTGAAAATATTCACCACCGACAGTTGCTGAGAGATGAAGATTAAGTGCACATAGTTGTTAGATTTTAAGTGCATTCATAGCCAGGTGTGGTGTCTCACACCTGTAATCCCAGCACTTTGGGTGTCTGAGGTGGGAGGATCCTTGAGGTCAGGAGTTTGAGACCAGCCTGGGCAACATAGTGAGAACCCATCTCTACAAAAAATAAATTAAAAAAAAAACTAGAGGCCAGGCGCGGTGGCTCACACCTGTAATCCCAACACTTTGGGAGGCTGAGGCGGGTGGATCATGAGGTCGGGAGATCGAGACCATCCTGGCTAACACGGTGAAACCCCATCTCTACTAAAAAATACAAAAAAAATTAGCCAGGCGTGGTGGTGGGTGCCTGTAGTCCCAGCTACTTGGGAGGCTGAGGCAGGAGAATGGCGTGAACCCAGGGGGTGGAGCTTGCAGTGAGCTGAGATCATGCCACTGCACTCCAGCCTGGGCAACAGAGCCAGACTCCGTCTCAAACCAACCAACCAACCAAACAAACAAACTAGAATCGGCCGGGCGTGGTGGCTCACGCCTGCTATCCCAGCACTTTGGGAGGCCTAGATGGGCGGATCACCTGAGTTTGGGAGTTCGAGACCAGTCTGAACAATATGGAGAAACTCCATCTCTACGAAAAATACAAAATTAACCAGGTGTGGTGGCGTGCGCCTGTAGTCTCAGCTACTAGGGAGGCTGAGGGAGGAGAATTGCTTGAACCCAGGAGGCAGAGGTTTCAGTGAGCCGAGATTGTGCCATTGCACTCCAGCCTGGGCAACAGGCTAAAACCACGTCTCAAAAAAAAAAAAAAACAAAAAACTAGAAAGTGCATTCACGTATTATTTAGTATCTCGACAAATTTAGCATGGTACCAAGGTCTAAGTGAGTCTAAGAGACTAAGTCTAAGGGTTTAAGTCAGTCCCTGACCTCAAGAAGCACCCAGCTATATGGAGAAGGTGTCATAGCAAATGTATAATGCCACTATGATATGGCAAGCATGATCACCATTATTTCAGAGTAACTGCCAATACTCCAGTCTTTTTGTAGCTTCAAATAAAATGATCTGTTTTGTTTTGACAGTTAGTTAATACATGTTTGGACCACTTGTGTTATATATTTTGGAAGAGAAACACAATTTGGGTTATATATACACTCTGAATATCCATATCCTTCCTAGCCATGATATTAGGAGGATTGACCAGTACAGTTAGTCTTTTTTAAAAAATACTTATTTATTTTTAATATTTACTTTAGGTTTAGGAGTACATGTGCAGAGTTGTTGTTTAGGTACATTGCATGTCATGGGGATTTACTGTACGGATTATTTCATCATCCAGGTAATAAACATAGTACCCAACAGGTAGTTTTTCTGTCCTTTCCCTCCTCCCATCCTCTACCTACAAGTAAGCCCTGGTGTCTGTTGTTCCCTGCTTTGTGTCCATGGGTGCTCAATGTTTAGCTCCCACTTATAAGTGAGAGAATGTGGTATTTGGTTTTCTGTTCCTCCGTTAGCTCATTTTGGATCGTGGCCTCCAGCTCCATCCATGTTGCTGCAAAGGACATGATCTCACTCTTTTTTATGGCTGAGTAGTATTCTATAGTGTATATGTACCACATTTTCTTTATTCAGTCTACCGTTGATGGGCATTTAGGTTGATTCCATGACTTTGCAATTATGAATAGTGCTGTGATAAATATATATATGCATGCAATGAATATATACCTGCATATGTCTTTATGATAGAACAGTTTATATTCCTTCGGGTATATACCCAGTAATGAGATTGCTGGGTTGAATGGTAATTCTGTTTTAATTTCTTTGAGAAATTGCCATACTGCTATCCACGATGGCTGAACTAATTTACATTCCTACCAGCAGTGTATAAGTGTTCCCTTTTCCCTACAACCTTGCCAGCATCTGTTATTTTTTGACTTATTAATAATAGCCATTCTGATGGTGTGGATGCTATCTCATTGTGGTTTGGATTTGCATTTCTGTAATGATTAGTGATGTTGAATATGCTTTGTTGGCCACATGCATGTCTTCTTTCGAAAAGTGTCTGTTCATGTCCTTTGCCCACTTTTTTAATGGAACCGTTTATTGTTTTGTTTGTTAATTTAAGCTCCTTATAGATTCTGGATATTAGACATTTGTCAGATGCATAGTTTGCGAATATTTTCTCCCATTCTGTAGGTTGTCTGTTTATTCTGGTTGATAGTTTCTTTTGCTGTACAGAAGCTCTTTAGTTTAACTAGATCCCATTTGTCAATTTTTGTTTTTGTTGCAATTTGATTTGACATCTTCATTATGAAATCTTTGCCAGGGTCCATGTCCAGAATGGTATTTCCTAGGTTATCTTCCAGGGTTTTTACAAGTTTTAGGCTTTATATTTAAGTCTTTAATCCATCTTAGGTTGATTTTTGTATGTGGGGTAAGGAAAGCGTCCAGCTTCAATCTCTTCTGCATATAGCTAGCCAGGTATTCCAGCATCATTTATTGAACAGGGAATCCTTCCCTCATTGCTTTTTTTGGTCAACTTTTTCAAAGATCAGACTGTTGTAAGTATGTGATTTTTATTACTGGGCTCTCTATTCTGTCCCATTGGTGTTTGTGTCTGTTTTTGTACCAGTACCATGCTGTTTTGGTTATTGTAGCCTTATAGAACAGTTTGAAGTCAAGTAATGTGATGCCTCCAGCTTTGTTCTTCTTGCTTAGGATTGCCTTACTATTTGGGCTTTGTTTTTTTTCTTTTTGTTCCATATGAACTTTGGAATAGTTTTTCCTAATTCAGTGAAAAATGCCATTAGTTTGAGAGGGATGGCCATGAATCTGTAGATTCCTCTGGGCAGTATGACCTTTTTTTTTTTTTTTTTTTTGAGATGGAGTCTTGCTCTGTTGTCCAGGCTGGACTGCAGTGGGCAATTGAGGCTCACTGCAAGCTCCGCCTCCCGGGTTCACACCATTCTCCTGCCTCAGCCTCCCGAATAGCTGAGACTACAGGCGCCCGCCACTAAGCCCGGCTAATTTTTTTTTGTGCTTTTAGTAGAGATGGGGTTTCACCATGTTAGCCAGGATGGTCTCGATCTCCTGACCTGGTGATCCACCCGCCTCGGCCTCCCACAGTGCTGGGATTACAGGCATGAGCCACCATGCCCGGCCGCAGTATGACCATTTTAACAATATTGATTATCCCTGAGCATGAAATATTTTTCCATTTGTTTGTGTCATCTCTGATTTCTTCAAGCAGTGTTTTATAATTTTCATGGTAGAGATCTTTCACCTTGCTGGTTAGCTGTATTCCTAGATATTTTATTCTTTTCGTGGCTATTGGGAATGGGATTGTGTTCATGATTTGGCTCTCAGCTTGGACGTTGTTGGTGTACAGAAATGATACTGATTTTTGTACATTGATTTTGTATCTTGAAACTTTGTTCAATCAGTCTTTTTTTTGGTTCAGGAAAATAATTTTGAATGACTGTTCATGATTAAATCAAACAGATTTGTTTTCCACTAGTAAACTGTAGTTCACCATTATTGAGTGCATGCTGTGCATATTTTCTATTGAAAAGCGCTCCAGCTTGGCATCAAATGGGCTCTAGCATTTATTAGCCTCAGGGTCTCCTCTGAAAAATGGGCAGGAATAGCACCTACCTGATAGTGTCAATGTAAGGATTCAGTAGGGTGGCTCGGCACCACAGGAAGTATTCAATATGGGCAATAATCACCATTGTCCTTGCAGAAGAAGCCTGGGCAGGAGAGAGATTTTTCTGTGCTGAAAAGACCTTTGTGACTGCTCTGAGCTCTTCAGGGAGACCAGTGGTGTCCAATTTAAAAGAGGGCTTATGGCCGGGTGCAGTGGTTCATGCCTGTAATCCCAGCACTTTGGGAGGCAAAGGCCGGTGGATCACTTGAAGTTAGGAGTTCAAGACCATCCTGACCAACATGGTGAAAGCCTGTCTCTACTAAAAATACAAAAATTAGCCAGGCATGGTGGCATATGCCTGTAATCCCAGCTACTTGGGAGGCTGAGGCATGAGAATTGCTTAAAACTAGGAAGTGGAGGTTGCAGTAAGCCGAGATGGTGCCATTGCACCCCAGCCTGGGCAACAGAGTGAGACTCCATCTCAAACACACACACACACACACACACACACACACACCCCAATAAAAGAGAGGTTAGATTGTCATGTCAGCACGTAAGGCAAAAATGAATGGGGTCAAATTACCCTTGAAAATTCTCTTCCCATAAAGTAGGGTGTATATGATATTGTTTATAACACATTCAGGTTAGAGAACCACTGAGTCAGACCACTGAAGGGAGTGAAAGATATGTTTACCTACAGCTGCCTGGGCATTGCAACCATTCTGTCTCTAAGGAAGTGAGTCTCAAGTAGGGGCAATTTTTGTCCCCTGGAGGACATTTGACAATGTCTTGAGACATTTTGATTGTCATTCCTAGAGCAAGGTATGCTGTTGGCGTCTAGTAGGTAGAGGCCAGCAATGCTGCTCAACATCGTGCAGTGTACAGGACAGCCCCCAAGAACAAATATCCAACCTGAATGCCAGTAGTGCTAAGGTTGAAAAGCTCTGCCTTACTATCAAGCCACACTTAGGAATGAGGGATGGGTAGAGTCTGCTAGGATGTTTCTGTTTGTCCTGGGGTTTAATTAGATGCCATATATAAAAGCCCTTAGCACAGGGCCTGGCACACAGTAGGTGCTTAATAAACATCTAATGGGTTTGAGGTTAAAGCTTGCTTGATGGGGCCTACTACATACACTCTGTTTTTGAAATGTGGTGGAGAAGAACTCACCACCTGCTTCCTGTCTTTCCAAGCAAAGCACTTTCTGTTTCACCCTGTTCACCAGTGATCGTTCTCATGGTGGCATCTTACATGAGAGGCTCTGAAGCCAGAACCAAAATCAGGTGTGATTCTACTGTATCACTAGTACCAAAACTTTCTTGTTTGTTTGTTTTTTGTTTTGTTTTTTAAGAGAAGGGTCTCACATCTGTCGCCCAGGCTGGAGTGCAGTGGTGTGATATTATGACTCACTGCAGTCTCAAACTCCTGGGCTCAAGAGATCCTCCTGTCTTAGCCTCCCAAGTGGCTAGGACTACAGGTACATGCCACTACACTCCACTAATTTTTTTTTAATTTTTGTAGAGATAAGTCTCGCTATGTTGCCCAGGCTGCTCTCTAACTCCTGGCTTCAAGTGATCCTCCAACCTTGGCTTCCCAAAGTGCTAGGATTACAGGTGTGAGCCACCATGCCCAGCCCTAGCGCAGAAACTTTCTAATTTGGATTCAAAACTAACAACTGTTCAGCTCTATATGGACAATCTTCTCTTGCACCACATGATTTCTGCAAAAGGAACTGTCACAAACAGAAACTCTACTTCCTCCTAACAGGCTGGATCTGAAATGGGAGTTCATGAGTCCAAGGCAAGGGAGTTGGAGGCTCGTTGGCCTGCATAGCCTAGAAAACTCTCAAGGCCCACAAAAGCAAGAAAATTGCTTTTAAATGAAAGAAAGATTTCCATTTCACTTCAACCCCTAATGCCTCACATAACTCTAACATCATTCCTGGTCCAACTGAAATATTTGAATCCAAATAGTCCTTAAGTCATTTGGACCCTATTCAAATGTGAATTCATCTCTTTAATCACTCTTCCTCTTATTTTTGAAATAAAGACTAATATTGAAAGTTAAGAGTCTATTTGTTAATTTTTTTTATTTAAGATTTTTTAATATAGGTTTGGTCACCATTGCTTTCTTCCCCATCATTCCTTTCTCATCATTGTCTTGAAGTTCCTAAACTTGTCTTTTTCTATTTTTAAAATTTCCCTTCATTTAAGTATTGTGGACAGCAGGCAGACTGAATAATGATGAATATGATTAATGTTCAGACTTAATAAGTCTTATGAAAAGACCTTTTTGTTCCAAGGGAAGGGATGTGATGTTTTGGCAGCATATAGTGTCACAGTGACAGAGTCAAATGTAGAGTAACCCAATGAAGGGACATAGCATGTCTTAGCCATACTTACCCTGAGAGGGAGTCACACATATAACAGCCTATTTAGATATGTCCAGAGAAGGGAAGGGATTTTCCCACAATGGCGTCTTTCTGTTTCACATCTGTCTTGGGAGCTTTCGTGAATTGAAATGCTGACTTGGTGTATCTGTATGAAATGGAGTGAGACACATTATCCTCAGAAGCACAGCACCTTCTCCTTGAAGTTCTCCTTCTACTAGAACAGCTATGATAGAAGAGAAGACTATACCAGGATCCAGGAATGGCAAATACACAGACCATCCACCACTCTCCATGGCCCTCCTCATGGCGGACATTACCAGTCAATCACAGCACCGTTCCCCTCCCCACATAGAGAACCCAGACTTGGAGTCACAATATTTGCCCAGAACCATTCAGGCAGTCACTGACAAGATGATGTCAGGGTAAGCATGCAAAATAGAAATGATTTTTAACCTCTATTAGGTAAAGAAGGATATACGTAGAAGAGCACGGAAAGGTTGTCACCACCGTATTCTTTTCCAGAAACCTTTTCAGTGCTCCAAATCTCACTCAACTGCCCTGAGTAATTGAGAGCTCAGCCTGCTCATTGGCGCAAAGGTTTAGAAGAGAAGAGGGAGAAGTTGGCTTTGCTTTCTACATGGCAATTTGGTTTGAAAACTTGCCTCAGAGTTACTGAGTGTGTGGAAACATATACATTGAGTGAATTCACCTTTTTTTTTTTTTTTTTTTTTTGAGATGGGGGATGGCTTTAGCTCTGTTGCCCAGGCTGGAGTGCAGTGGCACAATCTCGGCTCCCTGTAACCTCCACCTGCCAGGTTCAAGCGATCTTCCCACCTCAACCTCCCAAGTAGCTGGGACTACAGGCACGCACCACCACGCCCAGATAATTTTTGTATTTTTTGTAGAGACGGGGTTTTGCTGTGTTGCTCAGGCTGGTCTCAAATTTCTGAGCTCAAGTGACTCACCTACCTTGGCCTCCCAAAGTGCTAGAATTACAGGTGTGAGCCACCATGCTTGGTTTAATCGTATTTTTTAATACAGTCTGAATCCATAGTTTTAAGCAAAATGTAGATCTTATTTATATGTAATTTTCCTCTTGAAATCATATAAGATACTCCCCTAAATAAAACAAATCAAAAACCCTGTGACTACTGTTTTTCCTCCTTGAATTTCCAGTGTTATTACTATAGGGATTTTTTTTTTCCAGATAAGTCCCTAGTACCACTTTATCCATGAGGCCTCAGTCTGAGGTGGAGCTTTAAAAACAATCTAGAACTAAAATCAATTTTACCATTTTATAATTTGCTCAGTAAGATGGGGGGGAAAAGTATATGATTTTCAAGTACTTTCTACATTCTTGACTAAAAACGGCAGTTTTTTTTTTTTTTTTCTTTAAGCAAATGCAATTCTCTGGGTACTTACTGTAAGAGGATTTTAGTCATTGGAGACATTTAAAAAAAGATCTCAAGCGAGAATTTTTCTTCACATTTTTTTCAAAGGGATATTTACCCTGGAAAATGCTACATTTAGAAAAATTGTGCCTTAGATGACAACAAGCCCACTGATTTGAGGTTGGGGGGAGGAGAGTGGGGTGGAGGAGGTTGGAGGCTGTGTGAAGAGAGTTCTATTTACCCATGAGCCAAGCATGATTTTGGAGTTCATTTTCATTCATTTATTTTCATTTATTCATTCATTCATTCAATCAATCAACAAACACATATTGAGGGTCTGCCATAGGCAGAGTACTGTGCTAAGCAACAGAATTATAGCCATGAACAAAACACTGTCTTCAACTTCCCAACCCCTCTCAACCTGGTACTGCCAGAGAATGACACCCTAACGTGTAAAGATGGTAGTTCTCAATGGGGGAGACAACACTGCCCGCCAGGGGACTTGGACAATGTCAGGAAACATTTTTTGGTTGTCACAACTTGGGGATGGTGCTGCTGGCATTTAGTTGGTAGAGGCCAGGGGTGCTGCCAAACATCCTACAATGCACAGGACAGCCCCCGCAATAAAGATTTCTCCAGCCCAAAAGTCAGTAGTAAGGACCCTGCCCGGGCCAGGCGCAGAGACTCACACCTGTAATCCCATCACTTTGGGTGGCTGAGGCAGGAGGATCGCTTGAGTCCAGGAGTTCAAGACCAGCCTGGGCAACATAGCAAGACCCCATCTCTACCAAAAATTAAAAAATAAAAAATTAGCCATGCATGGTTAGGTTCACCGGTAGTCCCAGCTACTTGGGAGTTTGAGATGGGAGGATTTCTTGAGCCCAGGAGTTGGAAGTCGTAGGGAGCTATGATCACACCACTGCACTCCAGCTCCAGCCTGGGGGACAGAGTAAGACTTTGTCTCTAAAAGAATAAAAATTAAAACAAACAAACAAAACCACCTACCCTAAGGCATGTAAGATATGTAATGAATTAACTTCTAGCCAATGGCTCTAGTTAGGCACCATCCTTAGGTGAACAGAGAGAGTAGTGGCTCAATTCATTTTCAGTCAGGCTTTATTTTATCATGGAACTCTGATTGAGAAAGGTTGGTACCGTGGCTACTCAGAGCGTGGTCCATGGACCGGCAGCATCAGCATCCCCTGGGAACTTGTTAGAAATGCAGAGTTGGCCAGGCATGGTGGCTCACGCCTATAATCCCAGCACTTTGGGAGGTCGAGGCGGGTGGATCATTTGAGGTCAGGAGTTCGAGACCAGCCTGGCCAACATGATGAAACCCCATCTCTACTAAAAATACAAAAATTAGCCGGGTGTGGTGGTGGGCACCTATAGTCCCAGCTACTGGGGAGGCTGAGGCAAGAGAATCACTTGAGCATGGGAGGCAGAGGTTGCTGAGCCAAGATTGCACCACTGCACTCCAGCCTGGGCAACTGATCGAGACTCTGTCTAAAAAAAAAAGAAGATGCTTTGTGTCTGGAGTTCAGCGAGCGAAGAGTGATCAGAACTGAGAATGGTGAGGCCAGCAGGACATGAGGGACTTTATTCTAGGAACAAGTGGGAACGGTTCTGCTGGGCTTGATCCCCAGCCCCTTATCTGGTGTGGCACAGGCAGGGATGCTATTTGTGACCATGGGACAGGGTGAGGCTGTTCTAAGCAGCTGAGAGAACTGGTCAGACCAGGGTCGGAATCCCATGAATGGTAATTGTCCCAGGTGACCCAAGTCTGCTGTGAGACAGAGCAAGAACAATGCTGATGGGGCCACATGGCTCCCCCACCCCTCTGACTTAAGGCTACAGAGTCATTATGTCAATATATTTTTGTACAGATTTTGTAGTTTATGACACATTCTGGCAACGTTTAGATGCAATTTCAATGAGCCAGAATGTAGTACTGTAAACCCAAAACTGGATATCCCTTAAAGCTGTTAGAATCTGGCAGGAGACCTGCTCCCAATTACAAGCACAGTTTCCAACTTCACTATTCCCATCCTCAAAGCACTGAAAACAAAATCCATTTTTAATGAGGGACTACCAAACACTTTGCATTCTATTAATGTCCCCTTTGGGCTTCCAAGCACCAGCATACCTTACACACAAGGACTGACCCCTCCTAACTGATTATCAGGGCAAGGGAGCTTCTGCAGGTTTCCCTCGCCAGCACAAATATGACGACTGAATGAATGGGCATTAAGTCATTCTGTTGTCATCTTCTTCAATGTCTATCAGCACATGGATGGCCTATGGGGCCGGGTGGGGATTCAGGTTCAAAAGAAGTCATTTGCTCACACAGACAGTATACATTCAGCTGCCTGTCTCCCTAGCATACGACTCATCTTACAAACCATCCATTATCCACTCGGCAACTGGCAAATGTGAACTTGGCCAATGTCGAAGCAGAACGATGAGATTCAAGTTAGAAGAAGTGGGAGAAAGTGGGAAAGTACAAAGAGGAACCAGACGGTTTTCCAACCTGTAAGAACATGTTGTATTTACCAGGCCCAGTACAAAAGCCAAACTCTGTTCCTGTTGTTTGTCTTCTGCTCGGGGGCCTGGGTTATGTTTGGTGCAAATAGGACAGTGCACCCCCTCACTTCCATCTGATGATTGGCGTATTGTTTAGAGACGATGAGGGGTAATCTTGTGCTCTGGAGGAAGTTGGCAAGAAAGTTTAATTCTATAAAAAGAAACGCGCGGTCAGGATTCGGTTTCCTATTCTGAGTCAAGGCAGAGAAGAGAGTCAGAAATTCCAACCCAGAGGGTCAGGACGGGCTCCAGGACCTCTTGAATCACATCTGAAACATGTTCCCCCTGCTCCTTTCTCCTCCCTGTTCTTACAACTGGCCAACTGGGATTATACAACTTGCACTAATTTTATCCCACATGCGGCTGTTTCTTATTAGGAGCCTGTACCTTTTTTTTTTTTTTCCCCTGTGCCGTGTCATCTCTCTTCAATCAGGTGAGTAACTCCACTTCTTAACAGGGAGATTCTGTTCATTTTCTTGGCTGGACTCAAGAAATGTGCACTTAACTTTTTCTTAAAGTGTGAACGTTCATGTTTTTAACCCCGTCATCTGCCTTTCTCTCGCCTAAGTCTTGCTTTCCCCATTCTGAAAAGCTCTACTCAACCAGCAACCAACGGAAAAGTGAACATTGGGTGTCAATCAACAGAATGATTTTGGTCGCCCAATACCCAACAACTGTTTCTAGAGGGTTTTGTTTTCTCCCCCACCAAACTGGTGCTTTTTTTTTTTTTTAACTGAATTCACCAGATGTTTTGGCAGTGGATAAAACCTGGCTTTCCTGTCTTCCAAGTGGATGAAATTGGATCCAAATCACAGCACGTTGCCTCCGCTTCACCAACCAAGTACTTAATGGTTGTTGAGAATAATGCAAAGATTGAGATCAATTTTTCTTTAGGCGTCGGGACTATCGGATCCAGGTGTTAGCATTTTCTGGCCTTCCGGGCCTTGCAGTGTTTCTAGGGAAACCCCAGATCCATGAGTACGAGTGGGTTTCCCTACTGTTACCTTTCTTCATCATTTCGATTTTTCTGGCTGTGTTTCAGAAACTGCAAAACCGCACCCCGAAACCCCTCTGTGGAGGGTGAAATGCAACAGTGGCACACGCACGATTCAATCACGTCTGGAGGAAAACTGCTATGCAATTCCTATTCCGTCTTTGCAACTCCAGGCCTCCCCGAGCCAGAGGGAGAAGCGGGACTCCTTCGTCGGCCTCCAGTCCCTCTCTCCCCCATGCCCTGTTTGGCTTAGCACAAGCCTGAGCGTGCCATGCCACCTCGCCAGACCTTGCCAAAATCCGTGAATGGCACAGAACGCACATTAAACAGATGGAATGCAACATACATGTAAAGAAATAAGAGCTTTGCCAGGAAAGTTGGCAGCGGCTCCAGAATGCTTTAAACAGTGTGGGGAGGGGGGGTAGGGAGAGGGAGCCCAGAGTCGGCGAGGCTGCCTCCTTCTCCAGAGCTGTTTCTTTTACAGCCATGACCTGTTTTGCCAGTCAAGATAAATACCGTTTTAAATGCCCCCTTTTACTGGCTCCTGGTACCTTGGCAATGCAGTCTGAAATATGACCTGCTCTCATTGGAAAAATGTCCTTTTAAGTGAGTGGAAAGGAGGTACTCCTTCTAACCAGTCAGTAGGAAGGTTGTGGATGGCGGAGCGCTCTGAACACAGACACACTCGGGAAGTAGATGGAACCGCCATGGAGTCAGTACTGCTCGTTTATAAGCCACTGCCTTTAGAAAGTTCGTCGTAGACACAGAGTCACGACTGGGGAGCGCGGAGCTCAATGTCTAGGCTTTTCTGGCACCTTTGGCTTCAGCAGGAACAGTGAAAGGGCAGCCCAGGACGGCTGGCTATTTCACAAGGCACCTCGGAACAGCCACGCCTTTCCTTCAGAAGAAGAAAAAGAACGGTGCTAACCAGGTGCGGCCACAGTTCAACCCACTCAGGCCATTTAGCTTTGCCAGTCCCCACAGTCACAGGACGGTCGGTAAACACGGCAGCCGCTTGCCGCACGCGTGAGAAACTAGATGGATCTACCCGAAAGGTTTGCCATCACAGCAGACGTTCATGAAACAATTTCTGCATGCCAGGTACATACCAGGCATAGCTAATGAATCATCCCCCTATCTCCCGAGGTAGGCAAAGCACTACCCCTGTTTCCCATACGAAGAACCTGAGGCTCAGAGAGGTTGAGTAACTTGTCCAAGATTTCACAGCTATTCAAGGGGAAGCTGGAATTTGAACACAAGTCTGTCTAGTTGGCTGGGTGCAGTGGCTCACGCCTATAATCCCAGCACTTTGGGAGGCCAAGGCAGGCGGATCACTTGAGGTCAGGAGTTCGAGACCAGCCTGGCCAACATGGTAAAACCTCATCTCTACTAAAAATACAAAAACCAGCTGGGTGTGGTGGAGTGCGTCTGTAATCCCAGCTACTTGGGAGGCTGAGAAGGAGAATCGCTTGAATCTGGGAGGCAGGGGTTGCAGTGAGCCAAGGTCGAGCCACTGCACTTCAGCCTGAGCAAGAGAGTGAGATTGTGTCCAGAAAAAAAAAAAAAAAAAAGTCTGTCTACTCTAAATGATTAGATTGTCAGGGCCCCATGCTGGCTTCTACCAAAATGCTCAAGGCACACATGTTACAGAATCATCTTCTTCATCCTTAGAACTGCCCAGTATAATCAAGTGGTTGCATTCTCCATTAAAGATGCTATAGGATGTATCAGTTTCCTGGGGCTTCTGTCACAAATTATCACAAACTAGGTGACTTAAAACAACAGACATTTATTCTCTCACAGCTCTGGAGTCCAGAAGTCTAAAATCAAGGCATCAGCATGGCCGTTCTCCCTCCAAAGGGTCTAGAAGAAGCCTTCCTTGCCTCTTCCAGCTTTGGTGGTTGCTGGCTTCTTTGATTTGTGGCTGCATGTCTCTCAACTTTGCCTCCATGGCCTTCGCCTTTGTGCGTGTCTTCCCCCCTTATAGTCTCTTATAAAGGCATCTCTATTGGATTTAAGGCTGATCTTAATCCAAGATGGTCTCATCTCAAGCTCCTTAATTAATCATACCTGTAAATATCGTTTTCCTTTCCTTTCCTTTTGTTTTAGAGATGGGGTCTTACTCTGTCACCGGGGCTGGAGTGCAGTGGTGCCATCAAGGCTCACTGCAGCCTAAACCTCCCAGGATCAAGCTATCCTCCTGCTTCAGCCTCCTGAGTAGCCAGGACCACAGGCATGCACCACCATGCCCAGCTAACCTTTTTATTTTTTGTAGGGATGGGTTCTTCTTATGTTCCCCAGGCTGGTCTCAAACTCCTGGCCTCAAGCAGTCCTCCTGCCTCAGTCTCCCAAAGTGCTGAGATTACAGGTGTGAGCCACCAGGCTTGGCCTCTTTTTTCTGAATAAAGTCACATCCCCAGGTTCTAGGAATTTGAACCTGAATCTTTTGGGAGGCCATTTTTCAGTCTACCGTGCAGAAAGATGCCAGTGGCACATGAGGTGATTCATTCAATAAGAGTCTTTCCAATTTTGCAGATCTGCAGGGATCATTATAGAATTAAAAAAATATTTCCACCATTCCATATCCTTTTTTGAAACCAGTGAGTATCAAACCAATATTTAAGAAACTCTCACCAAATCCTGCCACTTAGTAAGTGTCACATAGTCCTCACAGGTACCCTGCAACAGAGATACTGTTCTTCCTCACTGGACAGGGGAAGAAAATAAAACTAAGAGAGGAAGAGAGGTTAAGAGCCTTGCCTAAGATCTCACAGCCAGGAATGGGTAAATGTGGGATTGAACTTTCAGTCTTTCAGGCTCTGGAGTCTTGAGTTTTTATGCAGGATGCTAAAATGCCTTTTCTTGGAAATGTAGGACTTGGTTAAGAAGCTGAGGTTTGGAAGGAAGTGGAGGTCTGGGGTGATGGGACAATTTATGCTATGTTTAGCCAAGAATTATTCCTGCACAGAATTTCCAGAAAGGCTGAAAGCAGGCTTTTGATTGGGAAGGTAATCCACAAGTTGGTTCACCTGATCACCTGATGAAGCTGAGGATCACTCCCCTCAGCACTCGTTGTCTCTCTCTCTCTCTGTCTCCCTCTCCCTCTTTCTCTCTCTCTCTCATGGCTGAAACTGGTACCTTCCAGCAGAGACACCAGGAAGTTGGAGGCAAATGAGAAAATATCCATTTTCACTGTCTCACAGATTTCAGTTCAGTAACATCTGCCAGTCATATATTCTTATCACAGGGATATTTCATTTTTGCTGTGCAATCATCTGACTCAAGAGACTGGGTAGATGGAAGGTAAAACCAAAGATGCTTACTTGAGGATGGCTGCAAATGGCAGGTGACTTCTCCTGGCATCTGGCGACCACATCCACCGATTCAGGCTGCATGGTGAACAAGATACAATTTCTCTTACAGTCAGAGCTGCTGAGGGCTAAGTGCTTAGAGCTCCTCAGCAACCCTGTGAAGTCAGATCAATAATGACCTGATCTGGTACTCAGGGAGGCCAAGTCACACACCCAGAACTGACGAACGGCAAGCGCTAGAATCCCTCCAGGTTGCCTGAGTTCGGAGTCTGAGATCTTAGTTGCTGCAATACACTCTCTCCAAGCCCATGTCTCAAGAATTGCCACTGTTTCAATTAAAGTAAATATAGATAAAGCAAAGAAGAAATTCACTGATTCATCCATTCATTCATCCATTTCTATAGTATCTGCGCTACGTGCCAGGAAGGCCAACAGGAAAATCCCTTCATCCATGTGTGTGCCCCTGAGTGTGTGTGTGCCAGGCACCTTGCCCTACTCATAGTCCCTACCTTCCAGAGATTAAGACTGGAATGTATATCAATTAATCCAGGACAGTATGGCAAATGCAAGAGAGACCAAGGAAGAGACGGAGCCGCCAAGGATTCCTGGAGAAGACACTTGAGTTGAGATTTGAAGGAAGAGGTAGATGTCAGCCAGAGAAGGAAGGGCTGGCCCACATTTTATTTATTTATTGAGACAGAGTCTCGCTCTATTGACCAGGCTGGAGTGCAGTGGCGTGACCTCAGCTCACTGCAACCTCTACCTCCCGGGTTTAAGAAATCCTCCCACCTCAGCCTCTCAAGTAGCTGGGACTGCAGGTGTGCACCACCACACCTAGCTAATTTTTGTATTTTTAGTAGACGTGGGGTTTCACCATGTTGGCCAGGCTTGTCTCGATCTCCTGACCCCAGGTGATCCACCTGCCTCAGCTTCCCAAAGTGCTGGGATTATAGGCGTGAGCCACTGCGCCTGGCCTGGCCCGGCCCACATTTTAGGTGGTGGGTTGATGTTCAGCAGGCTCACGCCAATGTGACTACGCCAGGTTAAATATTTGATCACCTCCATATTGATTGGTAAACAGTGAGGGCCCAGAGCCCACCGAGCGGCCCCCTCCCTACCTCCTCTCTCTTGGATCTCTGCCCACTTCCCCACGATGCAGACACTAAAGGGTTAACATTTGGCACAGCAAGAGGCTCTGGGACTCTGCCCCATTCCTGCTCTTTAGTCCCTTTCAGTTGGTGCTGGTGCCCTACAGGGTGACACGTATTTTGATTTTTTTAACTCCTGGGCTGGGGAGCAGTTGAGTAAGACGGCACGTAGGCCTGGGACATGCTGGCAGTCACCATGGCTGGAAAACAGGAAGCCACAGAAGTGCTGGAGGTGAGGCTGCAAGACTCAGAATGAGCCCCTGGGGAAGGACCTTGTGTGACATATGAGGGAGAATAGACTACCTTGAGGATAACGTGGAGATATTGGGGTTTTTGTAAGCATGCTATTTTTTATTGATGTATAATTATACATAGTATAACAGACTCTTCTTAAGTCTACAGTTTGATGAGTCTTGACGGGTGTATACCCCTGTGTGGCCACCACCCCTCTACAGGTGTAGGTAGAGAACATTTCCATTCCTCCAGAAACTTCCCTCTGCCCCTTCCATGGGAGATGTTAAGCAGGGGAGTGGCATGGCTACACTTTGCGTTTTTCAAGTTTGCATTTGGAAAATTGTTTTGCCCACTTCTTGAGCCCCTCTTGCGTGCTGCACACTGTTCTAGCTGTAGAGAAGAGGGATGGGTCACATTCTGGTGGGGGAGCTCCCTTTTGGGGAAAGGACAAAGGCAGTCAATGGTGTGCAGAACCAGCTTGATGGGCACGCACCCTGTGCAATCACAGGTGCGCCCAGGCTTGGTTTAATGTTCTGCCATCGCCATGTTTAAATTCTTAATAGTTTTTGAACGAGGGGCTCTGTGTTTTTATTTTGCACTGGGCCCCATGAACAAAGCAGCTGGGCCTGATGTTCCAAAGGAAATTAACAGGAGCCGAGAGAAAGAGAGGATATAGAGGGTCTTAAAGAGAAGACCCTCTAGGGAGGAACGAGGAAAGAAGTCAGCCAGGTGACGAGTGAAGGTTGCAAGAAGGATTCGCTTCCCTCAAATTCTCTGTTTAGCGATAAGCAAAAGATAGTGGAGACATTTCATATCTGCCGCTGTTTTTATAACTCTACCCACAGCCCCAGTAAATGTATATGGGCTCAATTAATTACAATGACTAATGCATCTGACAAGCCAAATATTAGCTCGCGAGAACTGAGTACACTTTTAAGTATTAAGTACAGATACAAATAATTAACAATAAGCTCGCTGGCGTTATTATCTTCTAATTAACTATAGAAAAAAAATTCAAACCTTAATCCAGAGCAAAATGAAAACAAAAGGAAAGCGAGACCTCTGTCAGCTTTCGAAACGGAGGCGGTGTAAGGAAGAGAGATAGGGCTCGGTGGATTTTCATCTGCGCTGATGATGAATTTCATCAGCCTTCCTTTGCTGACGTCAAAGCCAAAATAAGTGCCTTGGTCTGTGTTTCTCCCTGCTGGGGCCAGATGTCCAATGGGAAGAGTTTGGCAGAACATAAACTGGAGGTCTGATTACTAGAGGCAGGAGGAGCAAGGTTGGCATTGCCCTGGAGAAATCCATCTCTATCATCCTCAGACAGACCGCTTGTCGCTGGAATTTGGAACAGAGAGAAGTTGAGTTGAAAGGAATCCAATCGTCTCTTGGCAATTGGGTCTTCTTCCTGAAAGGAATCCTGAAGTTGGGCAGTTCACCTAAAAACCTGAAACTAAATACCTGAGCTGCCATGATATTATTGCCAGTAAATATTTCTAAAGCCAGGGAATCTAGAAACAGTTTTCCTGACTGATGTTGCTTTCCATATACTATTAGGCTGGTTCAAAAGCGACTGCAGTTTTGCCATTACTTTTAATGCAAAACTGCAATTGCTTTTTTACCAACCTAATACAAAAGAAGATGTATTTGCAATTATCCGAAAAACTTGGTTCTAAAGTCTCTAGTTTGGTCTAAATGATGTGGCTTTGCTGCTTTCGGCTCCCTGTTTCTCTGGATACTGCGAAAGCCCTTTTCGGCGTTGTGTGAACGCCTTGTTACCTTTGATGGCCTTTGTAACTCACTGCAAACCACATGGGAACCTTAATAGCTTCTCCCTTGCTCAGTTTCTTTTTAGCTTCTGATCCGCTCCTGCAGGGGAACACACTATACCCACCTTGATCATAATTGTGGCTGCCATTATTCTGTACTATCTACATGCAGGCTCTGTGCGCAGAGCTCTGCCCCTGTTATCTTATTTAATCCTCCCAACAGGAAACTGTGTTGGCTCTACCTGCAGAATGTATTCAGAACCCGACCAGTTCTCAGCACCTCCATGCCACCTTACTGGTCCAAGCTCTCCCATCTTCTCTCACCTGGATGATTGCGGGAGGCTCCTCACTGGCCTCCCTGCTGCTGCCCTTGTCTGTCTGTGGTCTATTTTTCAACACAGCAGACTGAATGATGCATATGAAATACAAGTCAGCTCAGGTCATAAACCTCCGAGGGCTCCCCATCTGGCTCAAAGTTGAATCCAAAACTCCTCCTTTCGCCCTTGCGCGCACTGGTTCAGGCACTCTGGTCTCTTTGCGTTTTCATGAACAGGGCCAAACATTCCTGCCTCAGGGCCTGTGGACTCCCTGTTCCTTACCCACAAGATACCCACGTGACTTATGCCCTTTCTTCCTCTAGGCTTTGTTCAAATGTCACCTTCTTAGTGGAGCCTATCGTGACCGTGCTTTTCAAACTTCAGTCTTTAGGCCAGGCGCGGTGGTTCACGCCTGTCATCCCAGCACTCTGGGAGGCCAAAGCAGGAGGATCACTTGAGCCCAGGAGTTCAAGACCACCTTGGGCAGCATGGCAAAACCCCATCTCTACCATAAATAAAGAAATAGCTGGGCATGGTGGCACACATCAAGACCCCATCTCTACCATCAATCAATCAATAAATCCATAAATAAAATAAATAGCTGGGTATGGTGGCACATGCCAAGACCCCATCTCTGCCATAAATAAATAAATAAATAGCTGGGCATGGTGGCACACACCTGTAGTCCCAGCTACTCAGGAGGCTACAGTCAGGGGATCCCTTGAGCCCAGGAGTTCATGCAGCGAGCCGTGATTGTGCTACCGCACTCCAGCCTGGGCAACAGAGCAAGACCCTGTCTCTAAAAAATAAATAAATAAGAAAATCCAGCCTTTCCCTTGGCCCTCCTGTTCTACCTTTTCTTATAAAACATATCACCATCTATCTTATAATTACTTACTATGTTTACTGTTGTTTGTTTTAGTAACCACTAAGAATAGCATGGGGCACACCATAGGTATACAATAAATATTTACTGAATGAATGAATAAATGAATGACCCATGAAGTATGTCCTATAATCAGTTCCACATTACAGAGGAAGAAACTGAGGGCTCATAAGGGTGTACCTAACCCTTTACCTTTCCTAAGGTAAGTTAATTACTGGCAGAGTTGGGCTTCAGCCCAGGTCCTACATCCAAAGCAACTTACCTGCTATGTTCGCAGCAATTATAAGTTAGGCCCACTCTTTATCATAGGTTACTGTCCAGTAAAAGCCCATTTCAAGACCCTGCTTACCTTGCAAGACCTGGTCTGACATTTGACGAATTCAGTGTTAATGCCCATTGTGCTAGGAATCATCAGAAGTGTTGATTTTCCACAAGTGCAAAACAGGATTTTTACATGAGAAATTCTGAATTAATCATTTAATTAATGTATTTTGTTTATTGATTTATTTTGTTTGAGACAGGGTCTCACTTTGTCATTCAGGCTGGAGTGCAGTGGTGCAATCATGGCTCACTGCAGCCTCAACCTCCCAGGCTCAGGTGATCCTCCTACCTCAGCCTCCTGAGGAGCTGGGAGTACAGGCATGCACCGTCATGCCCAGCTAATTTTTGTACTTTTTCTAGAGACGGGGTCTTGTCACATTGCCCAGGCTGGTCTCAAACTCCTGGACTCAAGTGATCTGCCCACCTTAGCCTCCCAAAGTGCTGGGATTACAGGCGTAAGACACTGCACCCAGCCCTAATTAATGTATTTTGACTAACAGCTTCCCCAAATTCACATGTAATAGAAATATTTGGTGCTCTGGGACAAATAGGTGATAGAGGGAAAAAAAGGAAATATTTGGAATACTCTAAAAGAAGTGGAATTTTAGCAGATGATTTTTTAAGTATAGATAAGATAATTACATAGCAATTATCTTCATCTATGTACTTAACTACCTAGACTCAGGGGACATAATCGAGAAACTCAGGGGAAGTTTTTCCCACTCACTGCATGTCCTCTATGGTCAGAAGACGAGGCTTCTGGAACTTTAAAGGCAAATCTTAATAAATTACACATAAAATTACCATAGAACCTCACAGTTCCACTCCTCCATATACACCCCAAAGAACTGAAAACAGGTGTTCAAACAAAAACTCATACAGGAATATTCATAGCAGAATTACTCATGGTAACTAAAAGATAAAAACATCAAAAATGTCCATCACATGATGAACGGATCAACAAATTGTGGTCTATCCATGCAATGGAATATTATTCAGCCATAAAAAGGAATGAAGCGCAGATACATGCTACAGCATGGATGAGGCTTGAAAACATGGTGCTAAGTGAAAGAAGCCAGACACAAAAGGCCACATGTTATATAATTTCATTTATATGAAATGTGCATGACAGCCCAAACCATAGAGACAGACAGCAGTTTAGTGATTTTCAGCAGCTGCAGTACGGAAGGATTGGGGAGTGACTGTTTAATGGTCACAAGGTTTCTGTTTGGGATGATGAGAAAGTTATGGAATGAGATAGTGCTTATGGTTGCTCAACATTGCCAATGTACTGAATGCCAATAAATCACATAATTTAAAGTGGTACATTTTATGTTATGTGTATTTTCCCAATTTTTTAAAAAAGTAAATCTTTAAATTCTGGCCTTGGCCCCAGGAAGTTTGAACTTGGTTCTGATTTGGTAGGCAGGTAGCTAAGGATTAAGTCCCTTCATGGTGATTATTGACTAGAAAGAGCTATAAAGTATCAGACTAGGCTGTGTAACAGACTTGCATGTGTGGCTAGATTATATTGCCAGCCCTGTGGAGTCAAGGCCTGATCCTCCCTTTCCTCAGAAATGGTGGTACATCTAGTACAATGCTATTCTGACAAGCTGAACAGCCAATTTCTTCCTTTCTTTTTTTTTTATTACCAAAGCCATATGCCCTGTTGTAAAACATCTAAACAATATAGAAGGGACATCTCCCCTCTTACCATTTCTATCCTTGGGTTTAATCACCACCATCTACAACCTGGTGTGTATCCTTTCAGACCTTTCTCTACTCATGTACGAAGATCTACATATAAATGTGCATATCATTGTTGAAGTTTTGGGGTTTTTTACTAAAATGAACTCATACTATATATAGTGCTACAACTACATATACTCTACATGATATATATATATATATGGCTTCAACTTGCTTTTTTTAAAACTCAACACTATATCAGAAAAAGCTTTCCACAGGAATACGTACAGATTATCACTTTCTTCTTAATGGCTACAAAGCATGGATATATGACCATTTATTTAACCAGTCCACTCTTGTCAGATAATTATCTTGCCTCCAATTTTTCACCATCGCAAGCCAGGCTGTGAGGAACACCCTGTTCATATATTCTTGCATACTGGTGGGAGTTTTTCTGTGGGAGTGATTCCTAGAAGTGAAATTGCTGGGCTGAAGTAAAATTCTTTCTTTTCTTTGACTTTTTAACAGCACGTCAGTTCGGGACACAAACGTATATTGTCTCTGGCCTCAGGACAAAAAAGCTAGAACTTTGAGCTTGACATGGGGCTTTGCTTAACTCGGCATTCACCCTGCATCCTGCAACGATAGCTATTTTCATTCATTTTATAAGTTCGTTGTCTCCAGATTGACTCCAGCAGAGGGAAAAGAAATCAGGTCCTTCTGTGCCATTCTTCAAACATTTAGAGGAAATTGATTTTCCACATGGGCTGTAGCCAAGCAAGGGATGCGCCGGCACAGAAGTGCCCGTGACAGGCTATTACTACTAACACTTGCAACAATTAGGCTCAACCCAACTTGAGATATTTTATTAGTGAGTGTAATTCCTCATCAGGCTAATATTGCAAATTGCCAAAATCAGCAGCAATTCTAAAATAGGATTTCCTTCATAATCCCTTTTAAAGGGACCTTGTGGAGCCTTGAAGTGCTTGGAAAAAGAAAGCTTTTATTCTCCAAGCAAGGACAAAAGGCTGCTGGTCCAAGAAGCTGATAGCTTGCCTTACCTTTCTGCTCTTACCTTTCTTATGTGCTTTCTCATGGCATCCAAGGGGATGCTTTCATCTGCAAAGAGCAGAAATGCAGTTTCAAACTGGCTTCAATAATACAGTAATGTCATGTGCCCCTTTAACCTAGAAATCTAAAGGTGAGGTGGGTTTAGAGTTGGTTGACTCGACGTCTCAACAGTGACACCGGGGATTGGGTTTTTTCCCAAAGTGATTAAGAAGACTGGTTCCAAAGCCAGTATGATATTGAATAGCTAACCTCTTGATAGCTATGTGACTTTGAACAAATTGCATAACGTCTCTGAGCCTCAGCTTTCTCATTTGTGAAAAACAGGATAATAATAACACAACAACTTATAGGGTTTTTGTGAGTATGTTCAAGGCTCGCTGCAGCCTTAACTCCTGGGCTTACATGATCCTCCCGCCTCAGCCTCCAAAGTAGCTGGGATGACCACACCCAGATGATTTTTTATTTTAATGCAGAGACAGGGTCTCACTATGTTGCGCAGGCTGGTCTCATACTCTTGGGCTCAAGCGGTCCTCTCGCCTTGGGGTCCCAAAGTTGCTGGGATTACAGGTATGAGCCACCACCATGGCCAGCCTGATTTTTATCTAACCATTTAAAAAATGCAAAAACTAGTTAATAGGCCATGAAAACAGGCAAGGCCATCTCCCAAGCTAAAGGAAATCAGACATTTAGAATACTCTCTGGCAAGTTCTAAATGCTCAATAAATGTCTGTGGCTTTTGTTATTACTACCATCACTATCATCCACTCTGCACTTCCTCTCTCCGTATTGGCTTCTTTGCCAGTCTGGTAGCAAGACTATCAGACTGCAGCTGCAGCACTTTAAGGAGCGACATCCAGAGAAAGGAGCACTGGAGTGGCATCCAGAGAAAGTGGCATCCGGAGAAAGGAGAAAAAACCTCGGCCGGGTGCAGTGGCTCACACCTGTTATCCCAGCACTTTGAGAGGCCCAGGCGGGTGGATCACTTGAGGTCAGGAGTTTGAGACCAGACTGGCCAATATAGTGAAACCCCGTCTTTACTAAAAATACAAAAAGTAGCTGGGTGTAGTGGCACATGCTTGTAATCCCAGCTGGGATCTGGAGGCTGAGGCAGGAGAATCACTTGAACCTGGGAGGCGGAGGTTGCAGTGAGCCGAGATCACACCACTGCCCTCCAACCTGGGTGACAGAGTGAAACTCTACCTCAAAAAAGTATATAGATAGATAGATAGATAGATAGATAGATAGATAGATCTGTCTATATATATATATCTTCCAGGGATACTTTATTAGGAGCCAGATCGCTCCCTATCTGACATATGTCCCCCACCTCAGTGACCAGAATGGGTCACATGACCTCTACCAGAACCAATCACTAGCAAGGGGAAGGATTATTTTTGACCAATCAGGCCCACTCCTGCAGCTGAGGGCAGAGTTAGTTTGCCCTGAGTCCCATTCTGAATGGGGACTGGGTGAATGCCTGACCCAAACAGGGTTTTCGTTTGTTTGGTTGGGTTTTAATTTTTAGGATCTTGCTCTGTCGCCCAGGCTGGAGTGCAATGGTGTGATCATGGCTTACTGCAGCCTCAACTTCCTGGGATCCATTGATCCTCCCACTTTGGCTTCCCAAAGTCCTGGGATTACAGGCATGAGCCGAAGTGTCTGGCTTCAAACAGGGTTTCTGTTAGGACAGGAAGTGGTAAGGCATGGATGCTGGATGGGCAGCTAGCAAGCTGGGTACATCCACTCTCTCAAACCCCCAAGGATTTATTGCAAGCAAAGGACCCGCTAATCCAGTTTATATATATCATCTCATAACAAGAGCAAGCCTTTTGAGTATTTGGGCTGGGGAACATTGGCTCTGCTGACCTTTAAGTCTTCTTAAATAACCTCTGTGGTCGTAACTCATTGGATTGTAGGAATTCCAAACAATTTTATAGCACTTTTGAGTTTACTACACACTCTCCCCATCTGATCTTTTATTTGACTTTCACTGTTCTCGGAGGCAAGGACTATCGTCTTCATTCTGCAGAGAAGATGAGACGTGATTTCTCTAAGGGCACATAGTTAAGTCTTTGAACCTTGATTTCTGACCTCCAGATTCTGGGCCCTTTTCCACCCTACTTCCTGGTTGCAGTGGAAGGGACAGTGGCAGCAGTTGCATCCTGGGAAGAGTTAGTGGCTGTGAAGCTAGGTGACAAGGCAACCAAGGGGATTTTACCAAGCGTCAACACAGCCTTAAAAACTGTGCTTGGGCCGGGCGCCATGGCTCATGCTTGTAATCCCAGCACTTTGGGAGGCAAGGTGAGCAGATCACTTGAGGTCAGGAGTTCTAGACCAGCCTGGAAAACATGGTGAAACCCCGTCTCTACTAAAAATACAAAAATTGGCCAGGCATGGTTGCACACATCTGTAATCTCAGCTACTTGGGATGCTGAGGCACAAGAATCACTTGAACCCAGGAGGCAAAGTTTGCAGTGAACCGAGATCCTACCAGTGCACTCCAGCCTGGGCAACAGAGCAAGCCTCCATCTCAAAACAAAACAAAACAAAACTGTGTTTAGCCAGGTGCAGTGGCTCACACCTGTAATCCCAGCACTTTCGCAGGCCAAGACAGGAGGAGCCCCTGCGGCCAGGAGTTTGAGGCTAGCCTGGGCAACATAGTGAGAAACCACCTCTAAAAAAAAAAAAAAAAAAAGGAAGCTGGGTGCAGTGGCTCACACCTGTAATCCCAGCACTCTGGGAGGCTGAGGTAGGTAGATCACCTGAGGTCAAGAATTTGAGGCCAGCCTGGCCAACATGGCAAAACCTTGTCTCTACTAAAAATACAAAAATTAGCTGGGCGTGGTGGCATGCGCCTGTAATCCCAGCTACTCAGGAGGCTGAGGCAAGAGAATCGCTTGAACCCAGGAGGTGGAGGTTGCAGTAAGCCAAGAGGGCACCACTGCACTCCAGCCTGGGTGACTGAGCGAGACTCCGTCTTAAAAAAAAAAAAAAAAAAAAAAAGAAACCAAAATGCTAACAGAATTGCTTCTGGGTAGTGAGGTCACGAGTGGTTTTTCCACCAGCTTCTTTATCTTCTTTCTCTACTTTCCATTCTTTCTATAATACTTATTTTATAATCAAAGAAAAACATACGGTAAAAGCCAGAAGGGAATTGAGTAGTTTTGCAGGCTAAGGTTTCTTATTATATAGAGAGATTCTGGCAATGAAGGACTAAGTGAGGCATAGCAGGGCTGTTTGCAGAGTGAGGGAAGGAAAACCACATCCTAAAGGATCTTCCATCTCTCAAGGTGGCTGTGCAGCCTCAGCATAGCTGACAAGTAGCAAATAGTTGGAGTCCTCCAGGTATATAGTGGGAAGCTCACAAGCTATGTGGCTTTGAGCAAATTAACCACTCTGACCTTCACTGTCTTCATCTGTTACATGAGGATAATAATGCCTCATAATACCTCATACTGAATTGTAAATTTTATTTAATTTGCATTGATTTCAATGCCTCATAACAGAGGATTCAAATTCTTTCAATCGTATGACAAATTGACCTAGGGGGCTGGAGATGCAACAGTGACCTAAGAGACAAGATCCCTGATCTTCGACATATTTCATTCTAGTAGAGGGTTAGGGTGGGGAGCTGAGTTGCCAATTGGAGGAACAGCAAGTGCAAAGGCCCTGGGGCAGACAAAAGCTTGGGGCTTTACACCAGAGAGGGGTCTTACGTGCCTGGAGCTTGGTAAGTAGGTGGAGAATGGGAACATTTGTAGGCTGGGGTCAGGCCTTGCAGGCCTGGGCAAGGAACTTGGATTTTATTCTAAGTACAATGTGAAGCCACTTAAGGGGTTTCGGCAGCAGACTAGCATGATCTGATTTAGGGTTTATGTCTTAAAAAGGCCACTCTAGCTGCTGTGCAGAGAATAGATTGTAGGAGTATGCAAGACGATCAATACGCAAAAGCACTTAACTTAAATTTGGGTCTGGCACAAAGTGTCTTAATAAGTGGTAACTATTTTTCATTATTATCCTCATTATCCTTATGATTATTACTACTCTTTTGTCTGCCTAGAGCTGGTTTGGGGATCTTAGACATTTTGCTTCACATGATATTGACAAAGCATTCAAACTAACCAGTGAATTTTTCAAATTTGCTTTTCAGGTGTTTTTATGTCCTCAGAGAGGTGATGGTTAAAAGCCAAAAACAAGCAAAACCTGCAGCCAAAAAGAACAGTAGACAAATTCCTGAATCCAATACGGTTTCATCCTTCAGGGGTAAGTGCTGGTTATCTTGTAGCTCAAAGAGGACTCTGGCTCTTGATTACAAGTTTCAATCTCCACCAAAGTCCTGGCTGAGCACAGACCCTGTTGTGAAATCCAACATATTTGGACATATTTAAAAATACCTCCCTTCCTCTCCTACCAACCCCTCCTTCCTGCAGACTCAGATCAGAGATGACTGTCTCTGGGAAGCCTCCTGTGATCCCAGGCCACTCTCCACACCACAGCTGTGTCCTCCTATGTTCTTGGGGCTTGAACAGGGCCACATAGCATAACGTCACCACCTCAGTGAAGGTGAATTTCCTCCACTAGACTCTGAGTTCCTAGAGCTAGGCTGTTCAGTATGCTGGCAGTAGCCATGTGTGGCTATTTAAACCTATGTTGAAATTAGTACAAATGAAATGAAATTTAAAATTCAGTTTCTCTATCACATTAGCTTCATTTCAAGTCCTCAGTAGCTACCAACAGTGGGTACCATATTGGACAGTGCAGATATGGAATATTTCTATGATAGCAGAAAGTTCTAGTGGACTGTGGTGCCCCAGGCAGCAGGAATCATGTTTTATTTATTAGTTTTGGACTAGCAAGGTGCTTACCACGTAGATCTGGGCAGTAGGCACACCTGGGTTTAAATGCCAGCTCCTAATCTTACTAGCTGTGTGACATGGCCATGATCAACTTCTTTGTACCTACCTCACCATGTGGTCGTGACGCTTATATAAATTAAGACATATGGAGGGTTTAAAACAGAGCCTAACAGGGGCCGGGTGTGGCGGCTCATGCCTGTAATCCCAGCACTTTCGGAGGATTGTTTGAGCTCAGGAGTTTGAGACCAGCCTGGGCAATATAGTAAGACCTCATTTCTACAAAAAGTCAGAGAAGATTAGCCAAGCATGGTGGTGAGTGCCTGTAGTCCAGCTACTTATGAGGCTGAGGTGGGAGGATTGCTTGAGCCAGACAGGTTGAGACTGCAGTGAGCTATGATTGCATCAGTACACTCCAGCCTGGGTGACACAGTGAGACTCTTGTCTCGAAAAATAAAAACAAAACAGAGCCTAACCCCTAGCAAGCGTTAGCTACTATTAATATCAAATTCATTAAAGTCACCAATACATAGTAGGCCCTGTTAAATGTTTATTGATTGCCTGAACAAATGAATGAAAAAAACGACTGAATGAATGGCCTTTATTTTTGGCTTTAATGAAAGCAGAATATCTCTTTTGAAACCAAATATGATTGCTATGAATAGTAGCTTCTACTTGTTCAGCACTTACTGTATACCAGGCACTGTGCTGACTGCTTTCTACAAATTTCTCCCGACGGCCTGATAAAGGAGGAAGGAGGTTCCGTTGTTAACCACCCCTTTTCACAGATGAGGAAACTGACGCTCAGAGAAATGAAGCAATTGCCCTCCCCAGGGAGAAGCCCAGAATTTGAAGCTATGCCTCTCTGACTCGGCGGAGTTACTATTGCATCTAGATTACTGGCGGCCAGGATTGCTTCTAGAAGTGATCTTGCCTTCCTGGCTCTCTCTAGTTCTTCAGTCTCCAAGGAGTGGGTGGATTGGGGGGTGAATACAGGCAGCCGCTGTGATGCGCTCCTTCCTCCCTGACCTTTGGGAAGGGTCTGTGGCTCCCCCATTGTGAGCACACACCTGCAAGGAGGAAGGCAGGCTGCTCAGTTTTCTTTCCTGTTCACAGAAAGACTTTTGACCCTGGTTTCGCGGATTCTTTTCTTCCCTTATCCATCCCCAGGGCGCCAGCCCCTCTCCCCGTGCCCACCCCTCTCCACCTCCCCACGCACACCACGGAGCAATGGCGGAGCAGCAGACAAGGGCGCCTTTCTTCAAAGTGGTTCGCCTTCCTCTCATAAATTCTCAGCGCCAGCTTGATTGGCTGCACGAAAGGGAGCTAGGCCCCCACTCTGCTCCTCAGATACAAAGTGAGTTGTGTGCAGTCTGCCCACGTGAGGTCAATCACAGGGGCCCGCTCCTCTCAGAAATCCCAAAGGACAAAACACTAAAGAGCCTGGTCACAGGATCAAAATTATCTATGGCAAGACAAAGGAAAGTAGATAGCCGAGAAAATCAAGACAATGAAGAGGCAATGTGAATGAGATCTCTCCCTCATTCCTAACCTGAGGACCTGAAAGATGCTTAACCCTTTCCCCCGCCTAACCTTTTAGCTTCCAGCCAAATAGAGTCTACCCACAGATGAAGATTGTGCCCAAACCTTGAGGGAATGGTCCCAAATTCAACCATTCCTGGTGTTTCCTTTTGCCACTTTCAAGAACTTGCATTTCCCATAGAGCATGATTCCAATGTTTCCAATTTTTAGGCACTAAAATTAGTCCAACTGTGTCTTCTAATTCTGTAGACACAACCCAGCTTGTGCAAATGTCCCTGTCTTCCATTTCTGGGTGGATTTTTGCATATTACAGACTGCCAATTTTGTCGAGTGTTCTTGGGGGAAGACAGAAGTTTAAAATCATCTAGCTGCTTACCGTGAATCAAATACTGTGGGGCCCAAAGTTCTGGTTTAGAGAGAATGCTGCACATAGCACCATCACGAAAAAGAAAAACACAGACAAATGTCCTACATACAGCACACGTGGTAAGAATATGAACAGTAATTTATTGAACACTTACTATGGACCTAAGCATTTCCCGGGCTTTTCTTTATTTGGCAGAATTTTATTTGATCCTCACAGCAATCCTCCCTCTGAGGCAAACAACATTTTTATCACCATTTTATAGAATAAGAAACCCAGGCTCCTCAAAGTTAGGTCATTTGCCCAAAGACGCAATGAGAAATGAATCCTACTGAGATTTGAACCCAGATCCCTCTGACTACAAAGGCTCTGAATTAAGCACTGAATTTCGGTATGTAATAAGTAGTAGTTGATATTATTATCACAAAATACAACATATTATCTGTAAAAATGGAAAGGTATAAATTCAGGCAACAAAATTGCATGTCATCTGTCATACTTTTTTAAAAAGGATAAGCAGGCTAGGCACGGTGGCTCATGCCTGTAATCCCAGCACTTTGGGAGGTAGAGGCGGGCAGATCACTTGAGGTCATGAGTTTGAGACCAGCCTGGTCGACATGGTGAAACCTCATCTCTGTCAAAAATACAAAAATTAGCTAGGTGTGTTGGGACATGCCTGTAGTCCCAGCTCCTCGGGAGGCTGAGGCAGGAGAATTGCTTGAAACTGGGAGGCAGAGGTTGCAGTGAGCCAGGATCTAGCCATTGCACTCCAGCCTGGCCAACAGAGCGAGACTCTGTCTCAAAATAATAATAATAATAATAAAATAAAAATAGAGGATAGGTAGATGATAGCTGGATAGGAGGAAACATGTTAGAACAATCTTTGTCAAAATGTCTAGTGATTTTCTCTTGTGATTTTTTTGCTTTCCAGCTCCTTCCCCACCCCGACCCCCGCTTGGTGCTTTCCTTTGCTTTCCAAGTGTTCTCCATGAAGCATGTATAACTTGTACCATTAGGAAAGAAATGCGTGTGTGTGTGTGTGTGTGTGTGTGTGTATGCATGTGTGTGCACACACAATGCATGTGTGCTTTAAAAGCAAAACGGAATAGAGAAAATGGCAAAACTAGGCCAAAGAAAGCTGGAATCTCAGTTATGTAAATCCTGCCCAAAATGGCAATTTGGGGGAATGTAAAGTCATCCCAAGCCCTGATGAATCAAAAGTCCTAAGCCATCTGCCTCCTAGACCAAGTGCAGCCAGGTGCCGGCAATGTGAGAAAACCCTTTAAACAATGCTCCAGAGAGTGTACATTTCCCTAGAGGGGGAAAACAGAGACTGGTAGAGCTCACCTAAGCAAAGAAAAAGGTTTCCTTCCTAACAGACCCTCCCAGGCTATTGCGTTTGCTGCTCAGATTCAGGCAGCCCCAACTTTATCAAGAAACACCAGAGCAGTCAGAGAAGGGGCAGAAAACCTTCAGCCTGGCCCCCAAGACAAACCCCTAAAAGTCTGGCAGGAGGCAGCCTCTCTGATTCCAAGCCTATATTTTTCATTTCTTGTTTTAACAGTCATAAACGCCTTCCGATGCCAAAGCAGAACATGACTTTAATCCAGATAAAATAAAATTCCTAAACCCTGAAAACTATACGGAGATTTACAGGCCAATTTTAAAAAGCGAGAGCCTCAGTCGCTTCCAAGAGCAGCACATTCCACATAGCCGGCCCTGGGTGCAGCCCCGTGGCCCTGCCTCCTGGGGATGAGGTCCCAGGACTTGCCACTCAGCCCTGAAATCCACAATCTCTTGGCAAAGTGACAGCAAGCAAATGCTGTTCTGCGTGTGGACTCTTCTCAGATTCCCGGGCTCTGGGGTCTCTTGGCTTTCAGGAGTCCTAATATGTTCCAGCTCCCCTCTCTCTGCCTCCCCTCACCCCCAGCTGTTGCAGAAAACCACAGTCAACCTCTTCTGGCTCTAAGCAGCCAAGTTTTCTCTAAGTAAACACAGAAAGTAGGAGAAGATCAGCTCTGTTCCATTCCCAGCACTGTGGGTTGGGTCAAGGCTGGCCAGGCAGCAACCCTGAGAATCTAGCTAGGGTTGGTTCCAGGGTAACCATGGGCTGCTGCCACTTAGGGGAGCCTTACTATGTGCTAGATGCTTTATTAACCTGATCTCATTGATTACTCAGGAGTTGCTATTAATCCCATGAGATTGGACCTTTACCTATTGAATTTAATCTTTTCGCCCCTCTAGGTTCACTCATCCTTTTGTCCTCCTACTCTGAACCTTTGGGGCTGAGCTGTTCCCGTTGGCTCCCTGGCCCTCTGGCCCCTAGTTGGGTTTGTCTAAGGAGAGAAGAGGCACTGGCAGGAGATCGGAGGAAGGAAGACAATGAGTTTGGGACACTTGTCCCCCACACTTCTCCTTTCTATGTTGCCATGGACTGGCTGTGCCTCTTCCAAATGCCACATTTCCTGTTGGGTGACCTTCTCCATACAGCTCCGCCTTTTCAGGTTTGGCAATTGACCCTTCTAGTCCTTGCAAGCCCAGGGGTAGTAACAGCACCTCCCTTTGCCAACCCAGGTATCACACTCTACCCTGTTGATAGTCCTAAATTCTGCCCACACCTGTGCAAATAATCTCTATGTTAAACTCTCCTCAAATTACTCAGTTTGAGTGTGCCCTCTGTTTCCTTCCAGGCTTTTAACCAATGCATGTGTATCGTCTCCAGGTTATAGATGAGGAGATGAAACTCAGAGAATTTAAGTCACCTGCTCAAAGTCGATTATCTGGGATTTGAATTTGGGTTGGCCTGACTCCAGAGTCCCAGCTCTTAATCTCTTAAATACTGTATAAAAAAATAAAATAAACTATTATTCAGTGCCCACTATGTGTCACACAGTTTGCTAAGCACTCTGTGCCTTTATTTCACAATGTCTCGCAAACACTTTATTGTAGGTACTACTTACTATCCCCATTTTACAGATGAGAAAACTGAGGCTCAGAAAGGGGGCTTCACCTGCCAAGTCCACAAAGTTAAAAAGGAGCAGAGTCAGGCCAGGCACGGTGGCTCACACCTATAATCCCAACAGTTTGGGAGGCTGAAGTGGGAGGATCACTTGAACCCAGGAGTTTGAGACCAGCCTGGGTAACATAGTGAGACCCCATCTCTATGAAAAATAAAAATAAAAAATTAGCTGGGCATGATGGCACATGCCTGTGGTCCCAGCTACTCAGGAGGCTGGGGTGGGAGGATCGCTTGAGTCCAGGAGGTTGAGGCTGCAGTAAGCCATGATCATGCCACTACACTCCCTCCTGGGTGACAGAGTGACATCCTGTCTCAAAAAACAAACAAAAAGGATCAGAGCTAGTACACGAACCTAGGGCTGCCCCAGCCTTTTAACCACTTCAAGTTCTGTATTGCAGAGGGGTCAAAAACAGATCTATGCTGCAGCTGGGAAATTAGTATGAGGTGGGACTTGGGTCTTAGCCTTGCCCATCTCCTCAATCCTAGAAGCTATCTTATCAGGGCTGCCCTCTAAAAACACCCCTCTGCACTGTGGTGTCCCACAGAAATCCACAGTATACTCTCTGCCTTTCTCCCCAGGCCCCAAGCCAACTGTTCCTAAATCACTCGGCTGGGTCCCCTTTCTTCTCTTGTTCACCTTAAAAGGCCACTCCCATCTGTCTGCCTATCATCATCTACTTTATTAGTTTTATTAAGGTATAACAGACATGCAATAGTCTGCACATGTTTAAAGTGTACAGTTTAATAATTTTAACTTATGTGTACCCCTGTGAAACTATCCCACAATCAAGATCATTAATATAGGATCATTCCCAAAAATGGCCTCATGCCCCTTTGTCATCCCTCTCTCCTGTCCCACATCCCAGTACCCAGGCAACTACTGGTCTGTTTTCTTTCTAGAATTTTATAGAAATGGAAACATACAGAAGTTTCTTTCATTCGTGTAATTAATTTTAGATTCATCCATGTTTTGTGTATCAATATTTCATTCTTTTTTGTGAATGAGTAGTATTGTGTTGTATAGATAAACCACAGTTTTTTCTTCCTTCCTTCCCTCCTTCCTTCCTCTTTCTTTCTTTCTTTCTTTCTTTCTTTTTCTTTCTTTCTTTCCTTTCTTTCTTTTTCTCTTGCTGTTTCTTTTTTCTTTCTTTCTTCTCCTTTCTTTCCTATTTCCCTGTCTTCATTCACCTACCTATCTTTCACTTTTTAGAAGTAAGCCTATTTGGAAAGATGTCCATCACAGTGTCTATATTTAATAGCAAAAATAGATCTAATGACCTACATCTCAGCCTAAAGGGAAAGGAGTAAATAAAGTTTGTTTACACTCACACAATGGAACACTATACAGCCATCAAAAAGAATGAGGTAGTTTTATGTGCTATCAGACTACAATGAGCCAAACTGTGGCCAGTCTCAACCAAAGAATCACATACCAAAGAATCACCAGCATTGGAAAATAATTGATATCTGAACTGAAGCCTCTTTGAGCAATCCGTACGATCCTCAAGTCTCCCTCATTGTAACAGCTACTTCCTTAAATGCTTCTCCTCATTTCCTCCCAATTTCAGTGTGGGCTATTATATTCTTTTCTTCAGGCACTCTTTCCTTCTTCATTCATCCACTCCTCCCCACTTTTTTTTTTAATTGTAAGAGACAGGGTCTTGTTGTATGGCCCAGCCTGGAGTACAGTGGTGCCATCATACCTCGCTGCAACCTGGAACTCCTGGGCTCACACCTCAGCCTCCTGAGAGGCTAGGACCACAATCAGGTGCCACCATGCCTAATTTTTTTTTTTTTAATTTTTGTAATGATGACGGTCTTGCTCTGTTGCCCAGGCTGGAGTGCAGTGACACCATCATAGCTCACTGCAAGCTCAAACTCCTGGGCTCAAGTGATCCTTCTGCCTCAGCCTCCCAAAGAGTTGGGATTACAGGCATGAGCCATTATGCCTGGCCTTACTCCCTTTTTGATCTACTCTGTTCTACCCCAGGTGGCTTCAGGTCCTTCCTTGTGCAAATTGCAAGTCAATGTACTCACTCTTAGCTTCTCCAGTCCCTGATGGGTCCAACAAAAGGTCTAGGGATTAGGGAGGCAAAGGCAGAATCTTCTTTAGAAGAAAGAATAGGTGAAAAGTTGATAAATACTTAGTGATATTTTCATCCCTGATATATGCATACACATACACACACACACACACACGAAGATGCCTATGACACGTTGTTGAGTGCAGAAAACAAGTTGCAAAACACTCATCACACTTATAATACCTCATTTGTTTCCTTCAGAAGCTTATGAAGTCCCAAAGGACAAACATTGTCCCCTGTAATCCAGTGCCTGGAGCATGGTAGATCTTTAAATATGCTGCTTTTATTGCTTCATTAGATATTTTTCAACATGTTAGTAGTGCATATCATGGAATGATGGAATTGTAGGTCATTTTCACTTGCTCATTAATATTCTTCCATATTGTTTGAATATTTAATGGAGAGCTTGCGTTTCTTTTCCTTTTGCTCTCTCATTTTATCTTATTTATTTACTTGTTAATGTTATTTTTATAATCTAATAAAGCAAAAAGCTTTTTGAATTAAAAAAATGTGAATGGAATGGTGAGAATTTAAGGCATTTCCTTCTAGTAGGGAAGAGAGATTTGGAGACTTTTGGCACCCATTAAATTACATCCATTAAGTAATACTGTGGGAAGGAAAACAAAACTCAAGCATCACAGTATCAAACCAATCCTTCAAGTTAGCAGAACCTCTGTGTTTACTTGGTGCATGCAGCCGCCACACTGACCCTTTCTCCAGCTTCCCTAACAGACTGGGATCTAGCCTGCTTCAGCTCCTCCTGTTGGTTTCTTACAGACTTTGGACCTCATCTGATGAGCTCCAGATACAGAGTCCACTGCGATAGCCAGAAGGGCTGTGCCATTCTTGTTTCATAGATATCCAATGTGCCCTGCCACTGTCCTTGATTCAATGGAAAACTGAAGAAATGGAAAGAAAAATTACTCACTGACACCTGGATAGTATGTTTAAAGTTTCTTTGCTTTGAATAGTTCTGTCTGCCCATTCATCCATCCATTCATCCATCCATCATTCATCTACCCATTCATCCATTCATCCATCCTTTCATCCATCCATCCATCCATCCATCCATCATCTATCCATCCATCCATCCATTATCCATCCACCCACCCATCCTTCATCCTCCATCCACTCATCCTTCATCCTCCATCCCTCCATCATCCATCTTCCATCCTCCATCCATCTACCCATCCATCCATTTTCCATCATTTATTCATCCATTCATCTGACCTCCATCATCCATCCATCTCTCTTCGCCTACTATCTATCTACTCTTCCATCCATCTGTCTATCATCTATTATCTATTTCTTTATACATAGGTCCCTCCTTTTCCTTTGACAATCTTTTACCTGGCCATTGATGCCAATGAGGCCAATGGATGTTAATATTCTGGTATAGCTGGAAAAAGATACAGATTAATAGTAAATATGATTCTCTGCTAAGAATCTGTTGGTAACCAGGCACCAGGCACAATGTAAAGAAATCAGAAAGTGCTAAGCTCATGGCCTGACACATACAAGTGGGAAAAAACATTCCTTTGAGTTCATTCCCTTGTTAGTGCTTGTAATTACAGATCTTTGCTACTGCTTCAATGAAGCCTCATGCGTTCATAACAACTGGTGTGAAGGGCAGGTTAAGAGGTCTTTCTGTATTAAAGAGACTGTTTAGAATCCTTAAACAAAATGAACCTTTATTCCTTTTGAGTACAGAGGAGACCCTGACAAAGAAAGGGTTTCCAAGTAGTAGTACTTTTCTTCTGCTCTAATCAACATTTAAAACTCATCTGGATTTGGCAGGAATTTATTTGGGTAAGAGTGAGGTGCTAAAAGCCTTACGGCAATTTACTCTTTTGAAGACATGGAATGCGCCCTGTACAATCTTCTTGACACAGTTACTCTGGTAAACTTTTCTTCACAGGTAGACTAAAGGTAAACTGCAGCTCAGGCCAGGTTGAATTATAACAAATGCCATTATTAGCACAGTTCAAATTAATGAGATTTTCCTTTACTTTAGTTTCAAAAGAGGCTAAAAGCCACTTAGTAACTCGATACCTCTTGTGAATCTCATTACTACAACAGTTTTTAAAACACAGTTTGGTCTTTGGTTACCATAGGAAATTGAAAAGGTCCAATGACTATGTTCCATTTTGGATCCAAGTTTTATGTCCAGGAATTCATTTAAGTTTGATGATTCTTTAATTTAAAAAATCCCCCACCAATGCTGGAAAAAAAATCTATTAACACACAGTGAACACATGAAAGGGATACTGACCAGTCAAGTCTTTATAAGCTGAAGAAGGGATAGTGACCAGTTTATTGTCTGAGTTCTATGCAAAACCAAAGATGAAAAGTAAACAAAACTTTCAAACTTTACCGTGTTTCTCTCCAAGCTCCTGCTGGCCACAGAGGCAAAAGTTTTTCCTTGTGTTTTATGTCTGGCAACCTCTTAAATTAAGTTGGATTTGTCCCAAGAACCAAATAACAAAATTAATTCATGAACTAGGGCCCTCCAGAATGTCTTTTTCTTTCATTTTGTTTAGTTACTTTTATAGTCCTTTCTTTCTTGGAAGTAATTTGGATTTGATTGCTTCTTCGTGAAATTCTAATGTCAAGACTGTGTCTAATTTCTGTTTTATGAAGAAATCTGGAAACTATACAAAGGAATGAATTGAGATGCAGAGTCAAATAAAATCTGTAATGTGATAACTCTATCAACTCTGCCTGGAAAGATACTGTATTTCAATTAGATCTTGAGACATGTTCTTACATAAACTGACAGCATCTGATTGACAGTGTTCATCTTCCTGGAAAACACAATTTACAAGGACAAGGTGGTGAGCTTGGTTCTGTATTCCAAAGGTACATTGGGTTCCTTGCCTCACCTAAGCCAGAATTGAAGTATGATGTAGCAGACAGGCTTGCTCGCACATTAAATCAAATTGCAAACGTATTAAAAATCCCCACCAAAAAAAAAAGGTATTTAAAATGTAAAGTAATAATAATGATACTTAGCATTTAAACAGTACTTTACATCTTCAAAGCACTCCATAAACATCGGTTCCAATTCTCCAGGCGTGCGAGTGGTCTTTGATGTGGAGAAGAGCTCTGCGCACAGTGGGGGAGATAAAGCTATATCCAGAAGAACTGGGCCCAATTAGCTAATTGTAACACTTTCATTTCTTTCCCCTGTTCAGTTTCATTTTTTTTCCAACTACCTTTTGTTCTCATTTAGATCCCTCACAGGGTCACCTACGCAGGCCTACTGGTAGTAACTAGGCTTCCATCCAAACCCATCCACAAGCCCCTTGCTGCATTCTTTCCCCAAGTTCACAGTGAAATAGTAATAACATAATACTAATAAACCAAAGTTCAAATGTATTACAATTTGATTTCTTTTATTCTCAGAGTTTGCCTTTCCAATTTTTCAATGCAGTAAAATGTCCTTTTATTTATAAGATGAGAGAAGGTACTGTGTTTTGTAGATAGTAGCTTTGGTTTTATTTTGATTTTTGATTCTTTCTTAGCAAAACAAGAAGTTGTCAATCCTATGTCAGTTTCCACAATTCTCTCAGGAGACCAGGAGACTGGACGCCTGTAACAAATCCAATAATTAGGGAGGCGCTGGTCTTGCTGATTCTGAGCCCCTCAGCAACATGGATTTGATATTCATCTCCATCAGTAATACTCAGTGCAGGCAGGGCTGCAGTGAAGCAAGGACCCTTCTGAAGCAGGTAACCTCCCCCACTCTTGGTGGAAGTATAAATCAGTATCACCTTTTGCAAAAACCTACCAAAATTGCAATCTTTCATGTCTTTTGACCCACAATTCTACTTCTGGAAGTTTGTTTTAATGAAAAACTCATGCAAGTTTGCAAATAACTATGCAAGCTCATGGATGTAGCCTTGTTTGTAGTAGTGAAAAACAGAGGAGCACCAAGGACCCACTAATAAGGGAATGGTGGAGTCAGGTGAGACACACCCAGTAGTGGAATCCATGATGTTGTCTTGCGGGTTAATGATATGTATCTACTTGCCCTCACGTGGAAGAAGGTCCATGGGGCTCATTCATCCAACACACATTTATTTTCTTTTATTTGTTTTGCTTTTTTTTTTTTTTTTGAGACAGAGTCTTGCTCTGTCACCCAGCCCGGAGTGCAGTGGCGCAATCTTGGTTCACTGTAACCTCCACCTCCTGGGTTCAAGCAATTCTTGTCCCTCAGCCTCCCAAGTAGCTGGGATTACAGGTACATGCCACCATGCCTGGCTAATTTTTGTATTTTTTTTTTTTTTTTTTTTTTTTTTTTTTTTTTTTTTTAGTAAAGCCCAGGTTTCGCCCTGTTAACCAGGCTGACCTCAGGCTATACGCCTGTCTCGGCCTCCCAAAGTGCTGGGATTCCAGGAATGAGCCACCATGCCGGGCCCCCAACACACATTTCTTGAGCATATACTATGTGCACGGCATTGTCCTAGGTAAAAAAGATGCAATGGTGAACAAAGGAGACCATGTCCTTACATTCTAGTGGGAAAGATTTCACAAGCAAATAAATACATATTATCAGGCAATATATATTTCTTAGGTTAGGAAATAAAAAGCAAGAGGCAGGGAAAAAACACTTTGGAAAACAGTTTAGTAGTTTCTTATAAATATATATACTTACTCTATGACCCAGCAATCTCACTTCTGGGTATTTAGCCAAGAGAAATGACAAAAAGGTATTTAAAATGTAAAGTAAGGGCTGGGCACGGTGGCTCACGCCTATAATTCCAGCACTTTGGGAGGCTGAAGTGGGCAGATCACGAGGTCAGGAATTCGAGACCAGCCTGGCCAATATGGTGAAACCCCGTCTCTACTAAAAATACGAAAATTAGCCAGGCGTGGTGGTGTGCACCTGTAGTCCCAGCTACTCAGGAGGCTGAGGCAGGAGAATCACTTGAACCCAGGAGGTGGAGGTTGTAGTGAGCCGAAATCGCCCCACTGACTCCAGCCTGGGTGACAGAGTGAGACTCCATCTCAAAAAAAAAAAAAAAAAAAAAAGTAAAGTAATAATAATGACACTTAGCATTTAAACAGTAAAACTAAACTAACATTAAAACTTGTATGTGGATGCTCATAGTAGCTTTATCTGAAATCGTACCAAAACTAGAAACAACCCTAATGTCCTTCAACTGGTCAATGGATAAACAAACTGTGATACGTCCATGCAATGAAATATTATACAGCAGTAAAAAGGAATGAACCATTGATCCATGCAACAACGTGGATGGGCCTCACATGTATTATGTGAAAGAAACCAGATACAAATGGCTCTGTGCCTTATGATTTTGTTTATATGACATTATGGGAAAGAAAAATTGGACAGAAAATAGAGTAATCATTGCCAGGAGCTAAGGATGAGGAAAGTGATTGACTACAAAGAAGCAGGAGGGAATTTGGGGTGGGGAAGGTGTTAATGGAACTGTTCTAAACCTTGATTATGGTAATGCTTATATGACTACAGATATGTTGTCAAAACTCAGAGAACTACACTAAAAATGGCGGGTTTTACTACATGTAAATTACATCTCAATAAACTTAAGGAAAAACAACAAGGTGCAAAAGGAATATAAAGGATGATTCCATTTTTGTAAGTAATAATAGTAGTAACACACGTTAGAATATGTTTAGAAAAAAATTTAGATGAATATCCTGCATGCCAAATTGTTAATAGTAGCTATCTGGGTTGGGAAAAGGGGTGTTTCATTTTCTAAATTACATATTTCTTTGATGTTTGAATATTTTATGGAGCATGTGTTACTTTCAAAATTAGAGAGAAAATCAGATTATTATACAAAATTTAATTCCCAGTGCTAGCCAGGTTGCTGTGGTGGGGGCACAGAACTTACTGGAGATACTTAGACTATGATTTGATCCTAATTCTGGCTCGGGAAGCAGTTGTCTGCTTCAGGTGCTGAAGATGCAGTTTGACCCCTGCAGCTCCTCAGGAAACCTACAAAACTCCCTCCTCTGTGGTCTGGTGACCCCCGACCTCACCCCAGGCCAAGCGGCAAAGTGCTACTGTCCCCTCTCAGCTGCTGGTGGGAGGTACTGGCGCTCCTGCTCCCACGGAAGTGAGTTTTTCTGGACAGAGGTAGAGTGAGGCTTGGAGTTGACAAGGCCCTCGTCCTCCTGCCAAGGAGAAGAGCTGCCTGTGGCCCAAGGTGGTTTAACGCCTCTGATGATAACAGCTTAGCATTTATTGACACTTACTTTATGCCAAGCACTGGTGGGGGCTTACTGTATAGTACTGGATTATTGTGTATTCCTTCATTCAGCAAATATTTGTTAAATGCCAGCAACGTTATAGGCATTGTGGATATGGCAGTAAACAAACAGGGGAAAAACCCCTCAAGACCCTGCCCTCAAGGGGTTTACATTCTAATAGAGGGAGCGGAAGACAGGCAAAAATATATAAAGATAAATGTATGATATGTTAGGTGACTTTAATCGTCTCTCCATTTTTAAAAAATTATTTATTTATTTATTTATTTATTTATTTTTGAGACAGAGTCTTGCTCTGCCACCCAGGCTGGAGTGCAGTGGTGTGATCTTGGCTCACTGCAAACTCCGCCTCCTGGGTTCAAGGGATTCTCCTGCCTCAGCCTCCCGAGTAGCTGGGACTACAGGCGCCCACCACCACGCCTGGCTAATTTTTTTGTGTTTTTAGTAGAGACGGGGTTTTACCGTGTTAGCCAGGATAGTCTCAATCTCCTGACCTCGTGATCTGTTTGCCTCGGCCTCTCAAAGTGCTAGGATTACAGGAGTGAGCCAACTGCATCCAGCTTATTTTTTATTTTTGAGACTGAGTCTCACTCTGTTGCCCAGGCTGGAGTGCAGTGGCGTGATCTTGGCTCACTGCAACTTCCACCTCCTGGGTTTAAGTGATTCTTCTGCTCAGCCTCCCGAGTAGCTGGGATTACAGGCACCCACCACCATGCCTGGCTAATTTTTGTATTTTTAGTAGAGACGGGGTTTCTCCATGTTGGTCAGGCTGGTCTCAAACTCCTGACCTCAGGTGATCTGCCCGCCTTGACCTCCCAAAGTGCTGGGATTTCAGGTGTGAGCCACCGTGCCCAGCCTAAAATTTTTTTCTTTTTTTGAGACCAGAGTCCCACTCTGTCACCCAGCCTGGAGTGCATTGGTGTGATCACTGCTCACTGCAGCCTCAACTGCCCAGGCTCAAGTGATCCTCCCACTTCAGCCTCCTGAGTAGCTGGCACCACCAGCATGCACCACCAGCATGCACCACCAAGCCTGGCCTCTTTTTTTTTTAATTTTTTTTTACTTTTCTGTCACATGTAAAGACCCATTAAATTTTTTGTATTTTTTGTAGAGACAGGGTCTCACTATGTTGCCCAGGCTGGTCTGGAACACCTGGCATCAAGCTATCCTCCCACCTCGGCATCCCAAAATACTAGGATTATAGATGTGAGCCAGTCAGGTGACTCTAGATGCCAAGAGAAAAGTAAACATAGTGAGGGGTGTGAGATGGAGGGGCATGATGTTTTCAGTGCAGTGGTCTAAGAGGGCTTCTGACATGGGGACATCTGACCCAACAGAAGCGAGGAAGGGAGCTGTATGAATGCCCTGGGGAAAAGGGCTCTGCAAGGGACCTGAGTGTGTGAAACAGCCTTGGGGCAATCAGCATGCCTGTAGCAGGGTGTGCACTGGGAAGGCTGGAAAAAATGAGGTCTGAGGGCCAGAGCACAAAGCCTGTTTCCATAGGACCCTACAGGCCATGGCGACGTGTCTGAGTGAGATGGGAGCCATGGAAGAGTTTAAAGCAGTGGAGTGACATGATAGGACTTAGGTTTGAACAGGATCCCACTGGTTGCCATGTGGAGAATAGAACTTAGGAGGGCTGGGGGCAGAAGGAGTGAGAGCAACAAAGGGACCGTGGCTTGGGTTTGGGTGGTGGCACATTCTGGATATTTCATTTTGTCCTTCAGTTTGCTCATCTATAAAGAGGGATCATAATAGTATCTACTTCGAAGGGGTGTTGGGAGGATTCAATAAGACCATGGTGCAAAGTACCTGGCTCAGTACCTGGCATATTCAAAGATCTTAGTAAACATGCCCGTGCTTATCATTATTACTGATTTTCCCGTGAGGTCCATATAATTACGCCCACATTATGGATGAGAAAGTGGAGTCTCCGAATGGTGAGGCCACTTAAGAGTGGGTGGCTGCTAAGTGGCCCAGCTGTATTGCTGCAGGCCCCTGTAAGACAACTGGGTGGGGGGTCACACCTGGCTGGTAAAAAAGGCGGAGAACTTGGAACAAGGGGCAGAGAGTATCTGAAGCACTGGGGGCAGGGGAGTTCTCTCAGCTTCATCTTAGTACAGGAGGTCGTAGCGGCCAAAGTTCATGTGCTGCCTTGTACTTCCAGGGTGTGTGCCCTTGGGCAAATCACTTCATCTCTCTGGGCCTCAGTTATCTCATCTGTAAAATGGGTTCTGGGATAGGCCTTATCTCCAAGATAGTTGGGAAGATTAGATGCCTAGCATAAAATGAGCCTGATAAACACACTCAGAAAAGAGCCTCCTGAAAAGATGGCATGATAAGGAGTAGTATAACTGGGTGTGTCTTGGCTGACTAGCTCTGCCAGGAGGTGGGAGAAGAAAGTCTTTCTTCTGTTAGAATTTTGAGTAGTGACGGATTAGATTATAATGGACAGGCTCATCAGAAATGCACATGCTAAGTAAACAGTGAACTCCTCATAAAACCACAAATACAGAACAACCCTAAATGTGTTTCCAGTTGTTGCATGGTTAACATGAAATAAAATCTGCTCATTGGGAAATCATTTTAGGGGTCTATATTTTTTTGTAAGTGAGGGGAATATTTACTAAGGCTTTTTTTTTTTTGGTAGAATAAAGAAGGGGTTTATATGTTCAGTAACCGTTGTGAAATGCTGGTAGCAAATCCCCATAACACAACTTGCTAACATTTACAGAACCTGTTGTGATTAAGTGGGAAGCAAGCTACTGAAAAATCTACAACAAGAAGTCAGCAAAGTAAGATCAAGAGACTATAAAGTAAACAATATATAGAGAATGAAATGTAATTTATTTCCTTGGGGAAGCGATCTGTACCGACAGCAGCAACAGAGTGACTCTATACACAAACTCCATTTCCATCCACGATAGACTCTTGCAGTCAGCGCATCTGAAAATAGAGAAATTGTGCTCACAATTTAAAAAACCAATTGATGATGATTCTCCAACATCCTAAGAGTTTGGCAGTCCACCTTTTTTTTTTTTTTTTTTTTTTTTTTTTTTTTTTTTTTTTTTTTTTTTTTTGAGACGGAGTCTCGCTCTGTCACCCAGGCTGGAGTGCAGTGGCATGATCTCGGCTCACTGCAAGCTCCGCCTCCCGGGTTCACGCCATTCTCCTGCCTCAGCCTCCCATGTAGCTGGGACTACAGGCGCCTGCCACCACGCCCAGCTAATTTTTGTATTTTTAGTGAGATGGGGTTTTACCATGTTGGTCAGGCTGGTCTCGAACCCCTGACCTCGTGATCCACCCGCCTCGGCCTCCCAAAGTGCTGGGATTACGGGCGTGAGCCACCGCGCCCGGCTTGGCAGTCCATTTTAAGAAGGGAAAACTGAGACCCAAGCAGGAGAGGTGAGCTCCCCTGCTTGCATCACCTTTGATGAGAATTTAGTACCCACGTGACTAGAGAAGCCCAAGAAACCTGTCACTGGGGCAAAGGGAAGACAAAGGGATGACTTGAATTTCACGTGTGGTGTTTTGTTTTTGTTTTGTTGTTTTTTGAGATAGAATCTCGCTCTGTTGCCCAGGCTGGAGTGCAGTGGTACAATCTCGGCTCAGCAACCTCTGCCTCCTGGGTTCAATGCCTCAGCCCCCCGAAGAGCTGGAATTACAGTCATGCGCCACCACGCCCGGCTAATTTTTGTATTTTTAGTAGAGATGGGGTTTCACCATGTTGGCCAGGCTGGTCTCAAACTCCTGGCCTCAAGTGATCCGCTCGCCTCAGCCTTCCAAAGTGCTGGGATTACAGGTGTGAGCCACTGCGCCTGGGCAGGGGTGCTTTTAAATAAAAGATCTGTTGCAGAAAGCAAGATCTGGCCCCGGGGGCAGGGACCCAGCCAGCAGGAAGCCAGTACACCTGTGCTTGAGAACAAGAAATGTCTTCTTGGCCGGGTGCGGTGGCTCAGCCCGTAATCCCAGCACTTTGGGAGGCCGAGGCAGGCGGATCACAAGGTCAGGAGATCGAGACCATCCTGTGAATGGCGAAACCCCGTCTCCACTAAAAATACAAAAAAAAAAAACATTAGCCGGGCTTGGTGGCGGGTGCCTGTGGTCCCAGCTACTCGGTAGGCTGAGGCGGGAGAATGCCGTGAACCTGGGAGGCGGAGCTTGCAGTGAGCTGAGATTGCGCCACTGCACTCCAGCCTGGGCGACAGAGTGAGACTCTGTCTCAAAAAAAAAAAAAAAAAAAAAAAAAAAGAACTGTCTTCTCAGGCCTGAGGACTCAAGGTGCCAGAGAGTTTGGAGGAACTGTGTGTGATCCCTGGAGGATGGTGGCCTTTGTCTAACATGCCAGGACCTGGATATGGGTACTCAAAGAGGAGTATTGCCAGGGTAGGGTGGCTAGATCAGTTGCCTTCCTACCCATCCAGACCTTGCTGAAATCCCTAATTAAGGCCACCGTTAAAGAGACATTTGTCTTCCTTACAAAGCCCCTCTGGGAGCCTGGGCGCTTAGACCTGGCCTGGGGCATAGAAAACAGAAAGGGTGAGATGTTCTGGCAGAGTTGGCAGAGAAGTTGGCATCTTCCCTACCAGAGTGAGACCTGGCTCAGGGCCACCTGGACAGCCCCTTACTTTCATGAGCCTTGAACTCACACTTACACACCCCTGGAGAAAAAAAGTTAGAGAATCTACACCTCATGAACACTCTCCTTTTCTTTTCTTTTCTTTTTTCTTTTCTTTTCTCTTTCTTTCTTTCTTTCTTTCTTTCTTTCTTTCTTTCTTTCTTTCTTTCTTTCTTTCTTTCTTTCCTTCTTTCCTTTATTTCTTTCTTTCTTTCTTCTTTCTTTCTTTCTCTCTCTTTCTTTCTTTCTTTCTTTTAAAAGACAGAGTCTCATTCTGTAACCCAGGCTGTAGTGCCATGGCACGATCTCACTCTCTTTTCTTAAAAATGATTTTGTTCCCCTAAAACCTGAGTTGGCTGTTGTACATTGGGACCATTCAGGTTTCTGGTGTATGTGTGTGTGTGTGTGTATATATATGTCTGTCCAGAGAAAGCAGAATTTAGTTCCAGGTGACACATTTCACCACCTGTGATGGCCATAGCCTGCAATGTGTAAGAAACTTAGTGGAGGCCAAAAAAAGTATAAATATAGAAATATAGTTCACCCCTTTTTTGGTCAAACAGCAGCAGTGTCATCAAAGAAAAATATCAGGGGACACTGTTCAGAACTTCCTTAGGCTTTATGATGGGCTATTTGAAAGCAATTCATTGTGGGCTACTAGAATCAGCATTACCCCAGGCAAAGAGGCCTTCTTAAGTGTACAAAAGGTGTAGGCAAAATGCCACTAAATCCAGTTAAATTAATCTCATTGGAACTGCTAGCAACTCAAATAATTGCTTAAATTACTTCTTTGGTGGTGTTTCTTGGAGTTCGTCCTCCTCCTTTGTTTTATAAAAAGGAGCTCTGGAGGTTAATGATAAAGCTGACATGTATTAACACTTACTATGTATCAGGCAGGTACCAAGTGCTTTGTGTACAGTAACTCACTGAATGGCCACAATAGTTCTAGGAGGCTGGTATGAACATGACCTTGCTTTAGGGATGAGAAAAGCCAGGTACAGAGAGTTTAAATCACAGCCCAAGGTGGTCAGAAGAGTAATGGCAGAGCTGGGATTTGAACCAGGTCTTGTCCAGCTCTAAAGCACTTGCTCTTACTCATGCCTCAACCAGTGACCTGCAGACACTGCCTCTCCAAATCGGCGATAACTGCTGTTGTTTTTACTTCATCCTCTATACTGTCTTAGGGGAGAGGTTGGAACAATTAGGAAATCCTTAGTGGTTATGAGCAAAACTGTTATTGCCCAAGACAGCGTAGCTCGATTGGTATAAAACCATTTAAGAGGAGACTTGAAACATCTCAACTTAAAAATTGAATTATGAAAGGGAATGAAAAGTATCAGCCTACCGCATGAAAGATGTTCAGAAAATCTTTATGCAATTATGGAATGAATTATCTTGTCCATGCCAGGAGAGAGTGACCAAAGACCAGGTTCTGTCATTGTGCCAAGCTTCTTATTGGTCTCATTGGAACTGAACTTGGTTCTCTTTTGTTTTAAGCTGCTAACAGCAAACAACTCAAGAGGAAATGCAGATGGTTGCAATGCCTAAGAGAAGATCAACCTCACTAGAGTTTCAGGGAAAGCAAATGCAGGCTGGGCACGGTGGCTCACATCAGTAATCCCAGAACTTTGGGAGGCCGAGGTGGGCGGATCACTTGAGGTCAGGAGTTTGAAACCAGCCTGGCCAATATGGCAAAAACCCCTCTCTACTAGAACTACAAAAATTAGCCGTGCGTAGTGGTGCACACCTGTAACCCTAGCTACTCGGGAGGCTTAGGTAGGAGAATCTCTTGAAGCCAGGAGGCGGAGGTTGCAGTGACCCAAGATCACATCAGTGCACTCCAGCCTGGGTGACAGAGCGAGATTCTGTCTCAAAAAAAAAAAAAAAAAAAAGCAAACAAACGATACCATTTTTTCACCTATCAGGTTGGCAACAATTTTAAAAGATTTGGCAACATCCAAATGCTGGCAAAATTGTAAGGAAGTGTACACTCTTCCTGTATAGCTCCAGGGACTGTGAAATGTGAATTGCTGCAACCTTTGGGGGAAAGTCTTCTGGCTGTATTTATTAACAATAAAAACACACATTTATTAACAATAAAAAAGCAATCCTATTTTGGGGATTTTATTCCACAGGAATAAAACTGTCGGTACATAAGGATATATGGATAAGGCTATTTATTGCACCCTTATTTAAAGTAGGAAAACACTGGAAAATCCCTGAATGTTCAGGAATAGGGGAATAATTGATAAATTATGGCACAGATGTTCTATGAAACATTACACAACTAATAAAAGAATGAGTTAGATGCAGATATATAGGTCTAGAGGTGTATTTGTGACAAACTATTAAGTGGAAAAAGCAGATTGCAAAGTAATATATGTGACACGATCCCATTTTCATAAAAAGTAAAAAAAAAAAAATTCCCTTAGAAATGTGTCTTTAAGTTGTGTTGGTTGGTATGAGTCTGGAGGAAAGAGAGTGATTATCTACAACCACGTGTGAACTTTGGTTATCTCAGTGGGGTAGAGGGAAGAGTATTCCCCTTTTCTTGGTATATTTTTATAGCTGGCATTCTGTACTTTTGTCATTTGCAATGAAATAAATCCAATAAAGTTTAGGTTATACAGGGAAAAACCCTTCATGTGATATGACTGGGTGATGCTCCTTCCTGTATAAGAATGCACAAGTGGCTGTGAGGGTTATAATGTATTGATCACCACCTTTGGAGTCAGGCACTGTGCTAAGAACTTTCCCTGAGCTATCACTCTGGGAGGTCAATGCACAGGAAGAAATGAGGGTCACAGGGGTTAAATGACCTGCTCGAGGCCGCACAACTAGAGCACGACAGAGCGGAGATTGGAACCCAGGTGTCTCTTATTCTGAAGCGACATTCTTAACTCCTGCAAAATGCTCCCACACTGCAGCTCTGGCAGCTTCCTGCGGTCTTTCTAATAGATGGTTCCTCCTCTGGTCATATTTTTGCTTCCATTTTCTCTCTGCCATTACATTTAGTAACCATGAAAGGGAACTAACCTGTCGTTCTAAGACCTGGGACTTCAGTTGCCCGCTGGGCAGCAGGCAATCTCACAAATGGGGAAACCAAGTCATGAGGATGGTTATCAGGTGCCTTCCACAGAGGGAACTGGACTGCGACAGAGGGAACTGGACTGCGACGTCTGTGAGCTTTGTTCCTTGCTGCTTCCTGTTAGTCAGTTGATGGTTTTGTTTTGTTTTCTTTTAATCTTATCTCCTGAGGTTTCTCATCAACTCCCATTGCTTTCTCTATTGAGTAAGAATTCTGTGGATCTTTATCAGTAATTTCAACCGTGCAGTGTCAAAGAATTTCACTGCTAGAAATGATCTGAAAGATCACCCGAGTTGCTGTTTTCACACACGAGGAAACTGAGGCCCTGAAAGTTTGACTGGCTTGTCCAGGATCATAGGCTGCTCCGTAGTGCATTTGAGACTGCAACTGGCTGCCATTGGGTTCCCATTCTGTATTCATGGTGTCAGCACAGCTACAAGCAGCACTTCTAGTGTTTTCTCCTTCTCTTTGGGGTCTCTGACAGCCAAGAAAATCTTTGTGGATGAGGGTATTTTTCTTTCTTCTTTTTTGTTTTCTCTATTTGCTTTAAGTTTACTTTTATGATGCCATTTGATTGATTACTCTGTTTTCAATTTTATTTATTGATTTTTGTTGTTTATAACTTACTGCACTGAATGGATATGTATACATTTGGTTATTTTATTTTATTTATTTATTTTTGAGACAGAGGCTCACTCCATCGCCCAGGTTAGAGTTTAGAGTGCAGTGGCAGGAGCTTGGCTCACTGCAACCTCCACCTCCCAGGTTCAAGCAATCTCCTGCCTCGGCTTTCCAAACAGCTGGGATTATAGGCACGCATCACCATGCCCGCCTAATTTCTGTATTTTTAGTAGAGATGGGGTTTCACCATGTTGGCCAGGCTGGTCTTGAACTCCTGACCTCAAATTATCCACTCACCTTGTCCTCCCAGTTCTAGGATTCTAGGATTGCAGGCATGAGCCACAGCACCCGGCCAACATTTGGTTATTTTAAACAAAGGAAAAAAGAAAATGCAAACAGTATGGTAAAAAGTAATCCCACTCCAACTCCCAGTCCCCCTAGTTCCCCTCCTTAGAGGCAACTAATGTTACTACTAGTTTCTTGTTACCCTTCCTGAGGTATCTCAATAAATAATCTATTTTTGAGATTATTCCATATTAGTGCAAATAGCACTAACTCATTATTTTTAATGGCTGCATGGGAGTAAATTATATTGTTAACTATTCCCCAAATGATGGACATGTTTCTAGTTTGTACCCTACAAACAATGCTATAGTTCATATCCCTGCACTGCATGTCTTTATACAATCGTACAAGTATCTCTGTTGGATAAACTTCTAGAAGTCGAACAGCTGGGTCAAAGGCTGTGTGCATTATAGATTTTGATGCTAGTTGAACGGACATCCAAAGCTATGGTGTTAATTTATATTCCCACCAGCAGTGTATGAGAGTCCTACTTCTCTCTACATTTGTCTAAGCTTTTAAAATACTGTCAATACTTCTTGTGGCTTTAATTTCTGCTTTTTCTTATGATGAGTGTGTTAGTCGGCTCCAGCTGCTATAACAAATTACCATAGACTGGGTGGCTTTAAACAACAGACATTTACTTCACACAGTTCTGGAGGCTGGGAAGTCCACGATCAGGTGCTGGCCATTTCAGTTCCTGGTAAGGACCCTCTTCTTGGTTATGTCTTCACACAGTAGAGAGAGAGAAGCAAACTCCCTTGTGTCTCTTCCTACAACGGCACTAATTCCATCACGAGGGCTCCACTCTTATGCTAATTACCTCCCAAGGGCTCCACCTTCAAATATCTTTACAGTGGTGAGTAGAGTTTCAACATATGAAGTTTGGGGAGGACACAAACATTCAGCCAATAACAACGAGTGAGGTTGAGTAACATTTTATATACAATCAAGTGTCAATGATGGGGATGTGTTCTGAGAAATGTAACACTGGTGATTTCCTCATTGTGCAAACATCATAAAGTGCACTTGCACAAACCTAGATGAGATAGTCTACTGCACAGCTAGGCTAAATGGTATAGCCTATTGCTCCTAGGCTACAAACCTGTATGGCATGTTACTGTACTGAATACTGTAGGCAGTTGTAATATAATGGTGTTTGTGTATCTAAACACATCTAAGCTTAGAAAAAGTACAGTACAAATATGGTATTATAATCTTATGGGACCACTGTCATATATGTGGTCCACTGTTGTCCAAAATGTAGTACATGACTGCATTTAAAAGCTGGTCTTCTCTATTCTGTAAACTGTCCAAGTCCTTTATTCATGTTTCTATTAGGTTTTGCTCTGAAAGATTTATCATTAGTATTTGATTTTTCGAGAGAGGGTCTCCGTCACACAGGCTGAAGTGCAGTGGCAAGATCATGGCTCACTGTAGCCTCAAATTCCTAGGCTCAATCGATCCTCCTATCTCAGCCTCCCAGGTAGCTGGGACTACAGGTGAGCACCTGGCTAATTCTTTTGTAGAGATGGGAGTTTGTCATGTTGCCTTGGCTGGTCTTGAATTCCTGGACTCAAGCGATCCGCTGGCCTTGGCCTCCCAAAGTGCTGGGACTACAGGTGTGAGCCACTGCACCTGGCCTATTACTATTTCTACTTAAACCTAAACATGCTGAAGAATGACAATTTGGTCACCAGGTGAGTAGGATAGAACTACCTTCACCTCTGATGTAAATATATGGAATCTGGATATGATGGGCATTATACCCTCGAATTGCTCAGGCCTAAGTAACACCGTGTATGTTGACAGAGTGGTTTTTTTTTTTTTTTTTTACTTTTACCAACAGTATCTTTATTTATTTATTTATTTATTTTTTTGATGGAGTCTCACTCTGTCGCCCAGGCTGGTGTGTAGTGGTGCAATCTCTGCTCACTGCAACCTCTGCTTCCTGGGTTCAAACGATTCTCTTGTCTCAGCCTCCCAAGCAGCTGGGACTACGGGCACACGCCACCACACCCGGCTAATTTTTGTATTTTTAGTATTTTTAGTAGAGACAGGGTTTCATCATGTTGGCCAGGCTGGTCTCGAGCTCCTCACCTCAGTTGGTCTGCCCGCCTTGGCCTTCCAAAGTGCACGGATTACAAGCGTGAGCGACTGCATCCGCTCATCAACAGTATCTTAATAGAAATTCTCAATATTGGCCTGAGGTCATTGGGTCAGCAATCAGGATCAATTTTTGAGATTAGGAAATGAGGCTCAAAGAGTTAAACTATGTTGGTCAAAATAATGCAATTAGAGGGATGGCAAAGCCAGCCAGAGGCATCTTTCTAAGGAGCCTCCTGAATTCATGCTCGGGCTCTGGAGTCAGAAGGACCTGAGTTTGAGCCATGTACTAACTGAGAGATTGGAGATGTCACTGCACACCTCTGAGTTTTACCTAATTACAGCCTAAGAATAATAACAGTATCTACTTTAGGTGGTTGTTCTGCGGATTATGTGAAATAATGTAGGTAACGACATTCATTGTAACAATATGTTGCATGATAATACACATTATAACATGTTGCTCATGAGTTTTGCTTTAGCAGTATTTGTGGTAGTTCCAAAACTCAGTTCACGTGTCTTAAGACTTCTCTTATTATACACTCTCATCTCTTCCCTGCTTTCTACTCTTCCTTTTTTTTTTTTTTTTTTTTTTTGAGACAGGGCCTCTCTCTGTCACTCAGGCTGGAGTACGGTGATGCGACCTCGGCTCACTGGGCTCACTGCAGCCTCTGCCTCCAGGGCTCAAGTTATCCTCCCACCTCAGCCTTTCGAGTAGCTAGGGCTACAGGCACATGCCACACTACGCCTGGCTAATTTTTGTATTTTTGTATTTTATTTTTTTTGTCATGACGGGGGTTCTTGCTACATTGCTCAGGCTGGTCTTAAACCTCGGCTAGGATTACCGGCGTGAGCCACTGTGCCAGCCATCCACTCTTCCTCTTTTAGCTTAATCTACCTGAAACAGCTGATTGTTCCATGTTTGGAGGCGTATTAGTGAAGACATTGTTTTCTCCTCCCCCTTTTCGGGGATCCATTTCTTGAGGACTGGGAGAGCTTCTCTTCATAGCAGCACTCCTCCGGACTCCCAGGCCATATACACTCAGGAAATGTTGGTTATCCAATGAATGACGCCAGGAAGAAGGGTCTGCTCCCAACACGGCCTTAGCACAGTGCCTGGAAGTTATAACAGATTCTGGCACACAGCAGGAGCTCAGGAAACATTTATGTAATGAATGAATGAATGAATGAATGAGTGCACACAGTAACTAGGAGTAAGGGCTCAATAAACATTTCTGTATTAAACGCACAGTGTCTGGAACACAGTAAGCGCTCCGTCTATGGCAGCCGTGAATATCCCTGGGCGAAGCCTGTGAAACCTTGTCCAAGAGCTTGGCTTCACTGTGCGCGGGTTCGAATCTGGACTCCTCTTCCCAAGTGTGCGACCTCGGGCAAGTGATTTAATCCCTTTGTGCTTTAGTTTTCTCCTCTGCAAAAGGCGGACGGCGGCGCGAGCCTCTGAGGACACATTCCCCAGGGCACTCGGACCCGCTGCCTGGCCCACATCGCGGCCGCCGCGCCACGCCAGCCGGCCTGGGCTGCGAGGGCACAGGCCGGGGGTCCCGCGCCCTCCTCCGCGGCCACCACGGGCGCGCCCGGGACCCACGGTCCCGCCCCGCCACGATCAGTGCACCGCGAGGGGGCGGGGCGGCCACGAGGGGCAGCCCACGGCAGCCACGGGCCGGCAGTCCGCCGCCCGCCGGGGAGCCCGGCCGCCCGCACTTCTTTCTCTCCCTCTCTGCCTCCCTCCCTCCCTCTTCCCGGCCGGAGGACCCGGCCGCGCTCAGCTCAGCAGCGCCTCCCGCGAGCCGCCGCCGCCGCCGCCACTCCGGACCCCTCCCCCGCCCGCCCCTCGCTCCCCCCGCGCGGCCGGCGCCCGTCACGTGACCAAGCGCCAGCCAATGGCGGGCCGAGCCGCGGTCGGCGGCCGCCATTGCTGTCAGAGCAAGCGAGCCCGGGGAGGGAGGAGAAGCGAGGCTGACTGGGGAGGAGGGGGGGGTGGGGGAGGAAGAGGAAGGAGGGGACGTCGCTCGGCTGCCGGGGTCGCCCGCTGGCTTCGTCCGCACCCCCCCCTTCGCGAGTTCGCGCTCCGCGGCGGCGGCGGCTCCGAGGCGGCGGCGGCGGCTCCGGGGCTCGCCTCCCCTCGCGCGCCGGCGGGGGCCGAGGGGGAGTCGGTGGCTGGAGATAAACAAGGCGGCGGCAGCGGCAGCAGCGGCGGCGGCGGCGGCTGAGGAGCAGGGAAGGCGGAGGCGGTGGCCGGCCCGCAGCGCCGGCCCGGGGCGCGCGCCCCCCCCGCCAGCCCGGGCCCGCTGCCCCCGGCGCGGCGTCGCCGCGGCGCCTCCCGCCTGCCCGCCGGCCCTCGCGCCCTCCCCCGGCGGCGGCGGCGGCCCGGCCGCCCCGCGCTCCCCGGCGAGGCGCCGCCGCCCGGCCCGGCCTCGCCTCGGACGCCTCGCTCCGACATGCCCCGCTCTGGCGGCCGGGCTCGCGGAGGATCATGACTGCGGCAGCGAACTGGGTGGCGAACGGGGCGAGCCTGGAGGATTGTCACTCCAACCTCTTTTCGCTGGTGAGTAGCCGGGCTGCGGGGAGGGGGCTGTGCCGGGGAAGGGGGGGGGTCCCCGACCTCCGCCGCCGACCAACTTTCTCCTCCCGCCGCCGGGACTTCGCCCCTCCCTCGCGTCTCCCCGCCGTTCGCCTCTCGCCGATTCTCCCCCTTTTGGATCGTCTCTCTCTCGCCTTGGATCCCATCCAGTGTTTATTTGGCTCTTTAAAAATCATTTGTGAGCGCGGCGCTCGGCGTGGAATTTGCATGTGGAAGTCTCGGAGCTGCGGATTCTGGGTCGCACTTCGAACGCCCACCCTCTGTTGCAATCGCACTCCCCTTCTCCTCCCCTTTCCCCCCTTTTTTTCCCCCCGTAAATGTGGAAGGCTTTGCCTTGTGCTGCCGCGCCTCCGATCGGCAACCTCTTCCCCCGTTGTTGGATCAGCTGCCTGCCCGCCCGCCTGCCTTTTGAATTTTTTTAAATTCCATAATGACACCTGCAATTTCGCCCTAAAATAGTTGATTGAATGCGATTGTGTCAGGAAAGGACTCTTGCACCCGAAGCTCCCGCGATTGTAAACATCGACAGCCGCCTGCCTCTCGGGGCTTACTATGCTGGAGAGCCGTAAAGCCATTGCACCGAGCCGACGGAAGGTGGAGAAAGCTTTTTCTTCTTTCTCTCCTCCTGTGTCTTTTAAAAACTGTTTTTCTCTATCCTAACAACGAATCCGCACACACACACACACACACACACACACACACACACACACACACAAAAGCAACAAGCTGGTCGGTTTGATAACATCGCTTTTATCTGCCTTCGCCTCTCTCGCGCTCTCTCTTTCTGATAATTGACAACTTTTCCTTCGGATTTGAATCGCCTGCCTTAATCTTGAAGCAGTTAGGGTGTCAATTGTTCTCGTGGAAGCCTGGCACCCGCCGACGGTGTCTAGATTCATCGAAATTAAAAATGTATAGGGCTCCAGCAACTCTTTTCCTGGCGGTGTCAGTGACATTTGGTGGTAAATGCCATCTTTGCTTTTTATTGGGTCGTATTACCTACCTCTGAAAACATTCACGTTGTTAAACCTGGCGTTTAGGCTAATAATTGCAGTGCGTGGTCTTTAAATATGTGCTTTGTGCATGAGTTACTGTATGTATAGCTATGTGCCCAGGAGAGTACGAATTTGTTTAAATATTGAGCAAAGATTTGTAAACAGATGTAAGGCAATTACGTTTCAAGCGTAGAATATAATTGGAAAATTGGCTGAACGGTTTATTTAATTTAGCCTTAAAAACACCCAACTTGTTTTAAGTTGTGTACCCTGTTTTTTTTGGGGGGGAGGTGAGTCCCTTTTGGAGAGCATGCATTTTGGAAATTATTTTCTGTAACCCCCGCTGTAGATAGAAGCATTATTTCCCTCTTAATCCTTGTTTACACTGGATAAATAATTTAGTGTTCAAATTGTAATTAGTTACATTTAATTATGGGTGGCATAGATGCCTTTTTGCTATGAGACTAATGGAGAAATGCAAATTCTCGCCAACTTTTCAAATGAAAGTGTTACTTTATTAAATGTGTTACAATGCAGACCAAAAAATCAACACGTGATTTTTACCTACAAAGACATAGTATCATTGCTCCCACTCTAGTAAAATCAGGTAAATTTTTTTAAATGAAATATTTTAATCCAGATATTTAATCTTAAAATTCATTTATAAGTTGGAATTCTTTCTCTTAGTATTGTGATAATTTTCCCTTGATTTTTTGGTATGTGGGAGTAAAACCCCCTTTTGCCTCAACTTTTTCCCTCCTCAGTCTTATCATTTAGTATCAGTCAGGTTCAGGGACTTCCATAGATTAGCAAACATATTGATCAAGGGGTATTTAAAATGGTTTTTGTGTGGTTACTGGTGACCACATTGACACTTACAGGTAATTAAAATAACCAAGTAGAGCGATCTCCCAAATTATCATATATTATGCTGACTGGTAATGGCTGTGTATATACGGATTCTGTAGACAAATGAAAGTATATGTATAGCCAGTCTTTAGGGTATATCATTTCTTTTATCTTTTTTTTTTTTTTTTAAAGCTTAAGTAAGGATGATAACGTTACAGAGATAAAATGCTTGAGATTCTTTTGGAGAAGCAATTTTGTAGGAGAGGATTCTGTACTTTGATTTTGAATGACTAAAGGTTTGTGTTTGAGATATTTCTCCCCTAAACCTCTTTAAACCAAGGGATTGATTTTTGAATATGCTTTTTTAAAAAGAATTATTTTTTAAGTAGCAACTTTGAACTAGAGAACCATAGAAATGCTTAGTTGATTTTTTTTTTTAAAGGAACGTAGAATGTCTTCATTCTCTTGTACGTGGAGTGTGGATAAGGTGCTATTGAAGAAATGTAAATTAATTAAACTGCTGACTTGTACATTTTTCTGATTCCAAATTGAGATTTTTTTTTTTTGAAAATGCTATACAGCAGTAGCAACCTGGAATATTAAAAATATGTTGCCCAAAGTACATTGTATATCATAGTTATTTCTGAAGGAGATGTAATCACTTGTTCAAAATCATGTTTTTTTATAAGAACGCTTTATGGTTTAATAATAGCATGCATTTTTTTCTTTTGGCCTGCAGGGTTTTTTTTTTTTTTGTTTTGTTTTTTTTTGCAGAGAAAAGTATTTATAAAGAATTTACCTAGATACTCTCATTAGTTAGATTGAAATAAGAGATTAAGTTCTGTACCGTGGTAATACCCACCCAGTTTCCATTACCTTGAGGTGTTCATTATGGCTTACCAAAAGTTGATTGTGCAATCAATCAGACACTTTAAGATTTCTGCTAGTCTTTTACTTATTTTCTGATTTTTTACTGCACGGAATCAAATTTCTTAAATTAATTTTTCAGCATCCATTCCCTTTTCCTAACGTGTGAAAAATGCCATTGTGTATATATGATATGGGTCATTGTATAAGTTTCTTATTCTAACTGCTGTGAGATTTGTAGCTGCTGCATTAAGTGCATGCCTGCCTGTGCCTTTCTGACTCAAAACTATTTTCTTATGCTGTCCATCACATTTCTGGGTGACTTTTTATATATTCACTCAGTTAATCATTCAGTTAAAAGTGTGTTAAATCTGCCTTTTTGAAAAGTGTAACAGTGCACCCTATGGTATGTGAACTCATTCTTGTGAGAAGACATAATTTCTGGATGTTAAGTAGACATTTATTTTTCTCTATTGAGTTAATATGGAGAAAGTGATTTTGTGCCCTTTAACTAGATTTAAATATGTGCTCTTTGATATGAGGGAGTGATCTCTAGTTCTTAGATATGTATGCTCCACTTTCATGTTTTATTTGCTTAGAATCTTCCTGACTATGGATAATTGGGTGATAATCTCAAATTCTTGCTGAATTGAGACACTAGTACACCCATTAGTACATAATTCCTATTGAAGACCATTAGTTCTATATTTGAAGCTTTTAAGGTAATCTATTGTTGACCTACTTTCTTTTTGTCTTAAGGGATTTTTTTGCAGAATGGGAAGGTAGTTGTAAATGTAGAAAGTCTGAATTTTTTTTTTTTTTGCGCTAGAACAAAATAGGGTGGACTATAAAATGGAAATTAGGAAAAGGGAATGATTTCTCTAATTTTCAAAGTGCCAAAATACACAAGGTATTTTTTTGTACCAGTTCATTGTGATTTTATAATTTATGTTTAAAGCATTTTTTTCCATGATGGTTCATTTTCTTTCTTTTTATTTTTTATTTTTTTGAGACGGAGTTTCGCCTTGTTGCTCAGGCTGGAGTGCAAAGGTGCCATCTCAGTTCACTGCAACCTCTGCCTCCCAGGTTCTAGCGATTCTCCTCCCTCAGCCTCCGGAATACCTGGGATTACAGGCATGTGCCACCACGCCCGGCTAATTTTGTATTTTTAGTAGAGACGGGGTTTCTCCATATTGGTCAGGCTGGTCTCAAACTCCCGACCTCAGGTGATCCACCTGCCTCAGCCTCCCAAAGTGCTGGGATTACAGGCATGAGCCACTACGCCTGGCTATCATTTTCTGTAATGAAAATATTTACAATTTGTTAATGTATGTTTTCGGTTTAGCATTTTGTTGTTAGTAGCACATGGTGTTACAGTATTTATATATTTTTAATAGCAATAATTGCCACCCGGTAATAGTTGCCATATTAACCTCCAATTGCTAGTAAATATTTTTAAGTACATAATAGACAGCAATTTAAGGCATAGTGTAGCAGTTTACTGGACTGTTTTAAAGAGCCATTTGTATGTGTGATGAGTTCATAATTTTAAAGAGACAATAATGTACCTTAGGCCTGTATGCTACAAATATTTTGCTGTGGATGTTGCTTGAAGTACTCACTGGGAAGAAGTTAGGTAGGGCCTATTCTTTGTGAGAAGAATGGGCAAGGGGGTGTGTTTAGGATAGTATGTATTTATTGAATTTATGCCAGGTGCTTATATAGCTTATCATTTTTTTTTTTTGTTTTGGTTTTTTTTTGAGACCAGAGTCCCACTGTGTCACCCAGGCTGGTGAAGTCTTGGCTCACTGCAACATTCAGCTCCCGGGTTCAAGGGATTCTCTTGCCTCAGCCTCCCAGGAGCTGGGATTACAGGCGCCTGCCACCATGCCTGTCTAATTTATTTGTGTTTTTAATAGAAATGGGGTTTCGCCATGTTGGTCAGGCTGCTCTGGAACTCCTGACCTTGTGATCCGCCTGCCTCGGCCTCCCAAAGTGCTGGGATTACAGGCATGAGCCACTGCGCCCGGCCAGCCTGGTTTTTAATTGTATTCCTTACCACTTTCAGAGATCTCTCTCACCAGTTTGTACTAGTGCTATAAATTGTGATAACTAAGTTAATTTTGTTCTATAATTATTTTTGCCTAATAATTTAAAATTGAGATGAAACTCATCTCAATGAAAATATGTAAATATTACTATTTACATATTTATAGAGAAACAGACAACAGAAAAATTGTTTATTTTTTATGAACAGTTAATTCAGCTGTCTCTCAACTTTGAATCAAAGATAGAGTAGATTTTTTTTGAAACATTCGACTTATTTTTGATTGAAGAAAATAACAATAATAACAATGTTCCCCTTCTTTAAGCTAGTAGTAGGAGTACTGATTTGTGTGTGTGTGTGTTTTTTTTGAAAGTGAATGATACATTTATTTCACAGGAGCTAACCAGTTAGCCAGATTAGACAGATTTTATGAGAATTAGTAGTATGGTTGACTATTAGGTATTACTGTTATTGAACTGTGCATTGCAACCGTAGAAATGAAGAAAAAAATACATGCAACATTGTTATTAGTGTCATTTATTTCAGATGTATTTTGTGCAGATCTGATTTACAAACTGTTGTGTGATGTTGGCCACCAGAATTTCTGTTTTGTCATAACGTTTCTTTTTTTTTTTTTTTTGAGACGGAGTCTGGCTCTGTGGCCCAGGCTGGAGTGCAGTGGCGCGATCGCGGCTCACTGCAAGCTCCGCCTCCCGGGTTCGTGCCATTCTCCTGCCTCAGCCTCCCGGGTTCACGCCATTCTCCTGCCTCAGCCTCCCGAGTAGCTGGGACTACAGGCGCCTGCCACCATGTCTGGCTAATTTTTTTTTTGTATGTTTAGTACAGATGGGGTTTCACCATGTTAGCCAGGATGGTCTCGATCTCCTGACCTCGTGATCCTCCCGCCTCGGCCTCCCAAAGTGCTGGGATTACAGGCGTGCCTGTCATAATAACATTTCTATTTTAAGAAATTATATTTAATGTATTTCAAAGTGAGGTAGTTGGGTAGCCTAAAAGTCTGTATAGTATTCTAGCGCACACACTCACACACACACACACACGTATTTGTTTCATAAGACTTGCTTAGAGTTTCAGAATTAGCGAATCAGTATTTGTATGTGTTCTTGGAATTTAGGACATTTTCCCCCCTCTTGAGTCATTTAACTTCTTTCTGAGCTTGTTCAGATAATTTTCTTTCTTTTTTTTTTTTTTTTTTTTTTTTTTTGAGACGGAGTCTCGCTCTGTCACCAGGCTGGAGTGCAGTGGTGCGAAGTCGCCTCGCTGCAACCTCCGCCTCCTGGGTTCAAGCGATTTTCCTGCCTCAGCCTCCCGAGTAGCTGGGACTACAGGCGCGCGCCACTATGCCCAGCTAATTTTTGTATTTTTTAGTAGAGATGGGGTTTCACCATGTTGGCCAGGATGGTCTCTATCTCTTGACCTTGTGATCCGCCCGCCTCGGCCTCCCAAAGTGCTGGGATTACAGGCTCGAGCCACCGCGCCCGGCTGATAATTTTCTTTTATAGTATATATACTTTCATTGTTTATTTGAAAGATTTAAAGGTGTTAGCTTTGTTCTGTTGGGGGAATTCACTTCATTACATAGGGGAGATGATATTTCATTAATCTTAGTAAATATTAACATAAACGAATTGTAAATTCAGACTCATTTGCATGAATGAAATATGTATGCTTGCCCAATTTTTGTTTAGTATGAAGTCATGTACATCAGCGTTTTCTGTCTTTGCTTTAGTTGATAGAAAAATAGTTTAAAATTCGTGTTCCTTTACTCCCTTGTTTTATTACTGAACTTTAAGATTATCTAGCTGGGCGTGGTGGCTCAAGCCTGTAATCCCATCACTTTGCGGGGAGGCCAAGGCAGGCGGATCACGAGGTCAGGAGATTGAGACCATCCTGGCCAACATGGTGAAACCCCGTCTCTACTAAAAATAGAAAATAATTAGCTGGGTGTGGTGGTGCGCGTCTGTAGTCCCAGCTACTTGGGAGGCTGAGGCAGGGGAATCGCTTGATTCCAGGAGGCAGAGGTTTCAGTGAGCCGAGATGGTGCCACTGCACTCCAGTCTGGCGACAGAGCGAGAGTCTGTCTCAAAAAAAAAAAAAAATTATCTGTGGTATAGAATAGATTTTATCCTCACATATTAGCTGTAATAATCCTCCTTTAGGAACTCCTGTTTTTCTTGCATTTATATTAGCATGTTTTGGTTATCTTTGTTGGAGTAGAGTTGTCCTCCTTTTTTTAAGTTAATAAAGTGCTTTTTAGAATATATTTTGATTCTAGTTTGAAAAAAAAAAAGAAAACTGCCTTGTATTTTTTCATTGACTTCTTTCTAGATGACAGGAGAGTCAGTTGTGTCCAAGGCAAAATGTTATTTCATTGGCATTTCCATACTCTGGTTTACTATGTATATTTCTCAGTGTTTATTTCTCATTCTAGATGAATTGTGGTGTAGAATCTAATTAAAACTGTATTTCTACTACTTTGAAATAGCGCAGAGCCTTGGCTGACAGCTTTCTACATTTTGTACTATTTTTCAGTATAGTAAAACTCCATTACTGTTTTTCTTTTTTGTCTGTTTTGTTTTGTTTTGTTTTTGAGACAGTCTCCCTGTGTCACTAAGGCTGGAGTGCAGTGGGCTCAAGCAGTCCTCCCACCGCAGCCTCCCCAAATGTTGGGATTATTGGCATGAGCCGCTGCTCCCTGCCTCCATTACTGTTAAAGGATCCTCTTGAGTTGAGTGCATCAAAATTTCATTAGTGTCTTTTTTTTTTTTTTTTTTTTTTGCATAGTTTAAATTTGTGGCTTTAACTTTAAAAGTAGATTGGGGGGGCGGGGAGGAGGGAGAGCATCAGGAAGAATAGTTAATGGATGCTGGGCTTAATACCTAGATGATAGGCCGGGTGCGGTGCTCAGGCCTGTAATCCCAGCTCTTTGGGAGGCCGAGGCTGGCTGATCATGAGGTCAGGAGATTGAGACCATCCTGGCCAACTTGGTGAAACCCCGTCTCTACTGAAAATACAAAAAGTAGCTGGGCGTGGTGGTGTGTGCCTGTAATCCCAGCCACTTGGGAGGCTGAGACAGGAGAATCGCTTGAACTAGGGAGTTGGAGGTTGCGGTGAGCCGAGATTGTGCCACTGCACTCCAGCCTGATGACAGAACGAGACTGTCTCAAACAAAACAAAACAAAAACAACCAAAAAACCTAGGTGATGGGTTAATCTGTGCAGCGAGTCACCATGGCACATGTTTACCTATGTAACAAAACCTGCACATGTACCCCAGAACTTAAAATAAAAGTTGATGGGGAAAAAAAATTGATAGGAGAAGATAAAGCAGGAAAATATTTAAGTCTTCATTAGATCTTTTTACTTAATAATTCTTAATTTGTATTAAGTCACTGAGTTGAATGTATTTAAGACATTTGATATTAAAATTAAATTGGAGTGACAGACTTGTTTCAAATAAAATATGTAATTGTAAACAAGTTTTATGGTGGGGAGTAGAAATTTCAAAAATTGGTAATCTAAAAGGATATTAAACTGAATAAGAATTATTGTGATCTTTTCTTCTCCCTTAAAAAACATTTGACAAATTTATGAAGAAGTGTTTTTTTTTTTTTGCTGGGAGGAGGGGAGATAGGGTCTCACTATGTTGCTCAGGCGGTTTCAAACTCCTGGCCTCAAATGATCCTCCTGCCTTGGCCTCCCAAAGTACTGGGATTACAGGTGTGAGTATGAGGAAGTATTTTTGAGTATAATACAGGAGGCTTCCTCATTTCAATATTATTAAGAAGGATGATTAAATTTATCTGAACTTAATATGAGCACTAATAAGGTATTCAGAAGAGTATAATTGGTTTGACAAAAAACATTTTATGTTGACAATTCTGACTATTGAATTTTCATGCCCTAAAGAGAAATAAGGAAAAACATACATATATCTAACTGGAACATTTGGAACTAGCTCCTAGTATTTGTGCCTGCATGTAAGCCTGGCACAATGCTACTTAAGAAGTTCAAATGTTACCTCCTCTGACCACCACAGGCAGAACTAGTTACCCCCTACCTCCCTCTGTGTACCTCTGATCATCAGATGAGCTTCTGCAGGAGAGTGACCCTGTTGAAATCATCTTTGCTAGGTGCTCATTAACTATCTGTTAAGTGATGGAATTCCTGGACGATTATTCTCCATTCCTCAAGGGAGCTCTTATTGACCATTTGGGTCTTGATCACAAGTATGCTGTTTTTATTTCAGCTTATTTTGATGATTAACTCTGTGTTCTGAATATATTTTATCTAGACTGTATGTACTGTGGCTTGGTAATATTTTAGATGAATTCTAGAATTTCCTTATTAAAGACAATTCCAACTGATCATGAGACATGTTCTTACTCCTCAAAGGAATAAGAATTCATTTAGTGTTTAGATTTTCTGTAGCATAGTAGGCAACCTATAGATTTTTGAGCCTTCTGGGGATTTTGTTTGGGGGCTTGATCCAGAATTCCTTTACTTTCATTCTTTAAGCTGTATAGCAGTGCTTTTGTTCAACATTCAAAAGATTGTTTTCTATGAGCCCAGTAAAATGGGAAATAACCTGGTAGTAGGGAAACTTGAGTTGTATTAAACATTTTTACTAGTATGATCACGTAATAGTTCTGTGCCTCAGTTTCTCCTGTAAACTTGGTGTTGGAGGGCAGGAGGCGTGAAAAATCATTTTGAGTACCTTTTAAGGAAAGCGCTTTGGATGACTAGATGATGTTCTTTAGTAGGAAGAGACCTTTAGTAAATTACAACTAAAGTTATAGAGTAGCCCGAGGCAGTTAACCAGGAGATTGGAATGGTAAAATGACTTGTTTTAAGTATAGCATTTATGTTGTGTTTGTATTTTTTTCTAGGGAGCAGAGGATTAAATTGTTCTTGTGTCTTTCCTCGTAAATAAGCCAAGATTGAGAAGAAAAACTTGAAATTCATTTTTAGTTTTTAACAGTTTTTCGTTACAACCATATATGATTCACAGTTGCATGGTGTGCCTTTAATGCGCTGGGTGATTTTGCTGTACCAACTCTGAGCTATAGCTGGCTGAGATTGGGAATTGAACCGTGGCTCTTATTTGGTAGTTTAAGCTATTAATTCCTTGGCAGTTCTGGAGTGCTCTTTGAACTTTAAATAGCAGTTCTATTAACACTTTGAGATTTGTCTCAGGGAATGTCAGGAATAGTACTTAATAAATATATTTTTCTTCTTAAAGACTAAATCATGTTTTAGTTTGACACACATGTCACAACCCTTACTGTGTTTTGAACAGAGAGAACTCAGCTACTGGCTAATTTCTATTTTCTGTTTAATAATGTGGCAGTATCTAAAAATATTGTTTAGGCTTGTTGAAGGAAGGAAAGCCCTCCCACGAATCTGTAGCGTTTGTATTAGTCATGTTGAATATGAATAGTGTCTTAAGTTGTATCTAGAGGTTTAGAATTTTACATGTAGGTGGTCTCCTGTGTTCTAAAATACTAGAAAAAGTTAATTTGTAAGTTTGTTTTCACAAAAAAACTCCCATCTCTTGCTACAAATGATGGTTAGCCTATTTACCTTGTATATTGTACTTAATTAGGTCTATTATAAAACTCAAATGCTATTTATAGCAGCATTTTTGTGGGAATAAACTTATGCTTAGTGTTCTCATGTAGGGTGTCAGGAGCACCTTTTCTCTGACTTATAGTCCTGGCAGTCAGAGCGGGAGCTATAGCTCCTCTTCTAGGCCAAGGAGAGGATTGCTGTGTGGAAGAGTGTGGAGAGGTGAGGATGGCTCCCTGTGGGAAGAGCAGCAGTTTTGAAGGCAGGTTTTCCTTTCCCTGCTTGTGGGCACCCACTGCTGCTTTCTCTTTGCTGATACTAGTGGCAGGTTCTGTGATGTCATCAGGAAAAGATTCTGTATTTCTTTGCATTTTAGCACTTCCCTTCTCTTTCCTCTCCTCCTTCACTCAGCCCTGGAGACAAGCTTTCTGCTGGCTATTACGTTTGCTAAATGAGGACTTCTGAGATCCAATGGGATGAAAAGGGAATTAGGGCTGAGATTGGACGGGGTAGCCAGTAAACAAATACTTAGAAATGTTAATGTTTTGTACGCTATGTTTGAGAAATTTGAGACATGTATTTTGGAATAATGTACATCAGAAATTATTAAAATCTAGCTTGGGTTAACAAAAGGGCTAGACTGATATGCGGAAAAAAGATCTGCATGCACTATTTAATTTCTGCAGAGGGAGAGTGACATGGACCGCATAATATCTGATAATACTTTGTAGCCAGAGAAACCTGAAAGGGGAGTAATAAAACTGGATGTTGAAGGAATGGATGGATGTGGCTTGCTAGAGAAGAAGGGGAAGGGCATTCTTTGGAAGCTTGACAATTTTTAGTCTTTATTCTTGAGGATCTTTATTGAGGTGGTATGTAGGAGAACACTTCTAATTTATGGTCCTGGTTCTTGGCTTTCTTTTAAAAAACAGTACAAAGACTTATTGAAATTGAATTTTTATTAGGTGGAAAATTTGAAGTGTGGGCAGGCCAATTTAGATTAAGAAATGATGTTAAAATAATTTTCAGTTTTCTAAAATCAGTTCTGAACTTTAAAAAAAGTGCTATATTACGCAAAATGCTAATGACTAAAGTGACAAATATTTCAGAAACTGGACAGACGTGAATCTCAAATGAGCAGATGGGATATGAAACTAAAACGGGAGATAATCCAAGACGATATAGAAACTATTATGAGAAGTGAATTGAGGAAAAACAAGTGTGTTAAATGGTATTACATTTAATAATGTGTTTAAAAGCCTTTCTAGGACTGCTGTCTTACACAGACAAATTAGAATTGTTGAACTGTGTAACCCTTCATTGTTTAAATTCTGTGCATTGAAAACAAATTCGATTTTGGTTTAAGATTACTTCTTATGAAGCCTAGGCTTTTAAGTTGTGAAGGTATAGGTTATATGTGCTTTAAATAGACAATCTAATTTGCTTTCTCTGACTTAAAGGTAAAGAAATGAAATAATGGTGATTTTCAGAGACAATCGTGGTGAACCTTGAAGGGGAGAGGTGTAAGGAGTGAAAGAGAGGGAAGGTTTGCTATTTGGGCAGCTTGGTAGTTCAAATAATTACATTTGACTGTTGAGGGTAGAATCTTGGATAAGTGGGTTGAGGAGTGAATGAATGGCAAGGTAAGCCAGTACAGACACTTTTCAGTTCTATCTGTCTGTCTGTCTAATCAATCTAGAGATGGTGGTTTGATGGGCAGTGGGGTCTTGCTGTGTTACCCAGGCTGGGCTTGAACTCTGGGACTCAAGTAATCCTCTTGCCTCAGCCTCTGGAGTAGCTGGAATTTCAGGCGTGCACCATTGTGTGCAGCTTACTTTTAAGTTTGATTCAGAAGGTTGATTGTGAAGCAAGCAGGAATGGGGGAGTAGGGGAGGGTAAGAGCCTGAAAGGTAGATTTGTGTTTGTTGACTTTGGAGCATCAATAGTGGAAAGACAGAAGGAAAGATGGAAGATACAAGGAAAGTTGATAAAACAAGCCTGGCTGGAGGATGGTTATCAAAAACCCAGCCGATAGTGTTAGTGCTAGAAAAGATGAAGACACCTCTTAGAAATACAAGATGTGATGATCTAAGAAAGGAATAAGTGTGAAGGAAGTGGGAAACAATCTCAATCTTGTAACTTGAGTGTTTTTTGAGTTCAAGGATTAAAAGTAGTGAGCTTCAGGCCGAATAAACAAAATCAATTTTTAAAAATTTTAGCTAGAAATTTTCCATTTTGTTAGTTGATTGCAGCAATCATTTTATTTTTGTTACCTTCCTTTAAAGGTTTTAAAGTTACAATTTCACAAGTATAAAACTGATTTTGAACTAGACATATCAGAACTGAGATATATCTGCTGAAATGAGGAGTATTGTTCAAAGTAGGCCCCCTTGAAATGGATCAAATGATGTTGCCATTGTTTATAATTTTTTTTGTCCTTTTCCTTTGGAATTGCTTTTAGAGACAGTTTAGTTGGCTGCCCCAGAAAATCTTATTTTAAGGGTTGCCTCTTTAGTCAGTGTCTTCTCTCTTTGCAGTTTATTATTTTAGTTCTGCTTTTTGCTCTAAACTGCTGCCTAAGAGTTAACAGTTTAATACCCTTCTGATGAGGGCCTTGCTGCTGATGAGTGAAAGCCCAGGGAAAGCTCCATTTTGGGTATGTTGGCATACATACGTTGTGGATGTATGCCAGGAATTCCAGCCTTGCTTGAACCTCTGCCTTCTCAGGTTCTGAGTCTAGCGATTCAGTGTACTTTGTTTTCATACAGCTTCAGTGGAGGTGGGTTTAGCAATCCATTGATTGGCAAGACAGGATATTGGGACCAATTAAGTGGTGGTGGTATTTTTGCTTTTTGAGGATCAAGGCAAATTATCCTAAGGGTAGAGTAGAATTCTGTGTTGTGTCTTCTCTCTGTCTGACTAGCAAGAGTCAGACATCAAATTGAGGCTCATTTTAGAGCCTTGGGATATATAAATAAATGTATCCTGTTGAGATAATCTCTTAAGGTTTAAACTGAAGTTTGGTTTGTGTGATATCCAACTTCTTACCTTTGACCACTTGGTGTTGCCTTATTCATTGGAGACTGCCTAGTAAGATAGCTAGTAGCTAGCCCACACATGTTGTCTCAGTAATTTCTTCCACAGTTGGAGATTAGCACAATAGAATTTGGAATTATACTTCATAGTAGTCTGCCTGAATAGTTAGTGTGGGAGGAGGTGCAGACGACCCTTTACCTGTAGTAGGGATGTCTCTACTAGTTGTTTAGATTACAAGTTGCAGTGGCAAGTATTATTTCTGTTTTTCAATTCAGAAATATAATGAGATTTTTAGACCTTTTCTCAGTCAGTTTTACTTTTTTTGGTCTTCAGATTACATAGTTTAATTTATAATTCTTTTTTTAGTTTTTTTTACATAATAAAAGAGAATGGGAATCCTGTCAGAAAGCGTTGTGATGTAATCCTAGAGCTATAGATATTTTAGGAAAATTTAGCTACATAATAGTTATTCTAAAAAAATAAGAAAAGGTACTTCAAAAATTTTCAGATTTATGACACCTGAGCCATTTAGCATTTAGAATTTATATCAGAGCATGAATCTTCATCTTAGCAACTAAAGAGCACAAATATTTGCCTCCTGAGATACAAGTTCTTAACTAACATTTAAGTTACTAAAAACACAGTGTTCAAAGTATGTCGCTTTAACTTGAAAAGTGTAATCATCTGCACAGATTGAATCAGGTTTCATGATCCCAAATAGACTACATTCTTTAGTTGTCTACAAATTACTTGAGAGAGATATGTATGAAGATGATATTTTGTTGCTATTTGGTGATAAGGTTGTGAAACTGAGCTTTGCAACCCAGACAGATGGTGCTATTCTTGAATCTGCAAGATCCTATAACATTTAATTAAACAGCGGAATGATTCTCATGAGAATCCATAGTTTGTTATATATAAGCTAATAAGCTGACTTTAGTAAATTGTATAAATTTGATTTGAAGTAGAAGAATTACCTATTCTAGGAAACTATTCTAATGAATGTTAAGATGAGTAGCTTGTGTTAGTGGTTTATATGGTAAACTCAAGGAATATTCCAGATGGAAAAACAAGTGGGACTCACTAAGGTAGGCGTTTATCTTCTAAAGTAACTTTGATTTTGTTGCCAAACTTTCTCATATGGTAGGTGTGATATGCTGTTAAGAACCCACAGAGCTGACTTTAACAATTTCCAGAAAGCTGTGAGAAATTTAGTTATATATGTTAACACCCATTTTAGAAAATATCTATTGATTTAGATTCCTTGTAATCTATCTTATATTTTAATTTTGGAATTGAAAATAGAAATAAGTAAAACAGCCCAGTCTAGTTTTAGTATGTTATGTGAACATAACTCTTTAGCCATTTGTAAAAGTTTGAGTTTGGTGGTAATATTGTATGATGGAGATGAATGAATTTTTTAGTTATATAAATAATTATGTAAATAATACAATAACAGACCATACATTTTTAGACATCATTGCAAATATTCTTTTATTAAATTTACCTTTTCTTTAATACCTATTTTTTAATAGGTAGAAGATAATGTGATGTTTGATGGCCAATTGAAGGACATGAAGGAATTGGGAGTTAATTCTGTATGCACAGAGGAATGCCTGAACTGTTTTAAAGAGGATAATGGCATGATCAGATTTATGTTTTAGAGAGAAAACCCATGTGGGCCCTGTGGAGTATGGATTGTCATAGGGGAAAAACCAAAGGCAGGAAGAAGCTCTTAGAACAGTCTAGGTGTGAGAAATAACGCAGGGCCAGTAGGAATGGAGAGAAGGAAATAGATCGTGTAATATTTTGGAGGTAGAGTTGACAGGCTTTGGTGATCAATTATAAATATGCCATAGAACAGGAATCAGATGATAAACAGATGTTCTTGGTTTTATGGCATTTGCATTCTTGTGTATGCAAAACGGGGAGGAACAGTTGGCAATATCTATCTGCTGAAGTTGTTAAACAGTAGACTTAAGCTTTGATCACAATTGTGTATATAAGAAAGTATTCACTGAGCCTGGGTTCTTGCTTTTAAACCCTACAGAAATCAAAGTTTTAAAGCAAGGAGTAGTGAAAAGAAAGTGAAAACAAACGTTAGCACTTATAATCTGCCTGTTTCCAGAGTTTTTTTTTTTTTTTTTTTGAGACTGAGTTTCTGTTGCCCAGGCTGGAGTACAGCGGCACAATCTCGGCTCACTGCACCCTCCGCCTCTGAGGTTCAAGTGATTCTTCCACCTCAGCCTCCTGAGTAGCTGGGACTACAGGCACCCATGACCATGCCCGGCTAATTTTTGTATTTTTATAGAGACACGGGGTTTCACTGTGTTGCCCATGCTGGTCTTGAACTCTTGACCTGAAGTGATCCGCTTGCCTTGGCCTCCCAAAGTGCTGGGATTACAGGCATGAGCCACCATGCCCAGCCTACAGAAAATATTTGAGACAATAAGAGTAGGTTTTATAAGGGAAGGGAGGGGCAGAAAAAAGGTGGGGAAGATAGGAGAAGGCAAGTCTGGTGCAATGGGTAGAGTGGGGCCTTTGGCAGGTCGTGGGTAGAGACGGTGGTGATTGGAGGTGTGAATTTTGGCAGGGGAAGATTCATGCAAGTTTAGTTATAAGAAATGGGCATGGAAAAGTCCTAATAGGAAGAAAGAAAAGGTGGGCAGGGGAAGGGTAACCTAACAGCAGTTGGCTCTGTATCAGCCTTTGTTACCTAGAGCATCTACTTTTAATAGTGGTAAGCCCAGAAAGCAGATGCATTTTCCTACTGCAGATCTGCTTTGGGATATTCTCGTTTAATTTTTTACATGAAGGTTTTGTTTATATTAATTTCAAATCAGTGATATTTTTGGTAAGAGGGTGAAATAGACATTCCATCTGTTTTCCTTCATGCCTTTGTGGAAATGGCCAGATTTGGGGAACCAGTGGATAGAATAGCGGGGGCATTTGTAGAGACCACAAACCAGTGTTTATCATTGGTACTTATTGCTTGTTTTGATTTTGGTTTCTTTCAAATTTTTGTTCCTATCATTCTATTCTTTGTTTCCGTGACACTTAGCTTTCTGAGTGCACAATATTTTTTTTGTTATTGAGAGCGTAATTGTTATGCCATGTTGTATTTTTTGCCTCACATGTTGGAGAAATTTTTCCTTCCTCGTTCCATGCCTCTCTCTCCATACCCCCTTTTCCTCAGCACATTCCTGGGTTCCTCGTGTTCAGGAGTGCAACCCTGACTGTTGGACTTTATGTGCATCACCAGTGCTCAGTTAAGCGCTAAAATGGACATATGCGCTTCAGAACCTTTTGATGTAATCTCCTTGGTGTGGTGGGGACCCTTTCCAGTTGTTCTGAGTGCACTTATTGGCACAGCGTGTACTATCCATTGTAGATTGGCTGTAAATTAATTCAGCCTTCGTATGTGGGGAGGTTTTTCACTTGGCTACCCTGAAGGTAAAGAGTTGGCTTTCCCGCAGTTGTCATTTTTCTTTACTTTCTCTCCAAGTGAGGTAGTACTAATGAAATACCAAATATTTCCAAGAAATACAACTTCCAAGAAATGAAAACTGTAAAACATTTGTCCATGTTCCAGCCGCTCCATTAGATCAGATTTACCCCAATTCTTCTTCTGTTCTTGTTAATGTGCACATTTTTGTACATAGATGTAATCACAGTGTAAATAGAATTCTTTATTCAGCTGTACTCACTAACATTTCCCATGTGCTTATAATTTTCATAATTACAATTTTAGTGGAAAAGTAATTTCTTTTAAAAATTTTATACAATTTTATGTAATTAGTGTGAGCTTCAAACAGTATGGAAGTGTCTAACACAAAACATGAAGGATCCCTCCCCTCACCTTCAGGAAGGTAACTTCCAGAGGTTTAATTTGTATTATTCCAGATTTTTTTTTCTTGCTTTTGCATGTGTCAAAATTGTTTTATTAGATATTGAATAGATAAACAGAGCATGTGTAAATCACACATAAGGTAGAAAGATTCATGGTACAATGAACACCCATGTACCTAATACGCAGTTTAAGAGAAAGAACTTTTCACCACTTACGGAGTCCTGTGTGTGCTCTTCCTCTCCCATTCTCTTTTCTCTCCCTTCAGAAGTAACTCTTACTTCAATTTCATGTGTATCATTCTTTAATTTTTAAAGTTTTAATCACATATGTATTTATATGTATATTTTTACATGTTTTTGGACTTTTAATATTGAATCGTATTCTTTTGCAAACTGCCTTTAATGTTATGTTCCCACAATTCTACAGTTGTAGTTCTCGTATATCGCAGTTTATGCATTCTGTTGGTGATGGACAGATTTGTACTTAAAAAAATTACAGATAAGAAATAATTCTCCACCTTTTCCTGCAATGTGCTTTTTCCGCTTAACATTGTCTTCAAGTATTTTTATGTCAGTAAATTTAGATATAGTTTACTCATTTTTATTATGTTTTTGAGCAGTTGTATCCTGTTTCATAAGATGGATGTACTATTGTTTGTTTAACCATCAACTATGAGAAACGTTAAGATTCTTTCAATTTTTTGCTGTGTAGTACAGTTATACATTAAAATTGGAAAGCTATAGCTATAAACAGTTTAAAAAGATGTGTCAGTTTACATTTCTATGGACAATATATAATGCCTATTTTTTTCTGTCCCTGCCTGTAATGGAACTTACTCATTTTAACTTCTGCCTCTACAAAAAAAAAAAAAAACCCTCAATATTTAAATTTTCAATTTTTGGATTTCTCGTGAGATTATGAGCATCTTTTCATCTATATGGGTATCCAGATTTCTTCTGTGAGTTTATTTTTCAAGTGTTTAATCTCTAAAAAGCCTTTTTTTTTTTTTTTTTTCTGAGATGGAGTCTCACTCTGTCGCCCAGGCCGGAGTGCAGTGGTGTAATCTCGCTCAGTGCAACCTCTGCCTCCCGGGTTCAAGTGATTCTCCCGCCTCAGCCTCCTAAGTAGCTGGGACTACAAGTGCATGCCACCATGCCAGGCTAATTTTTGTATTTTTAGTAGAGACGGGGTTTCACCATGTTGACCAGGCTGGTCTCGAACTCCTGACCTGAGGTGGTCCGCCCACCTCGGCCTCCCAAAGTGCTGGGATTACAGGTGTGAGCTACCGTGTCCGGCCGTTCTTTTTCTTTTTATAATAAAATTTCCAACCACTCACTAAAAGGAATCTGTATTTCAAGTCAGACCTTTACATGTTCTCACCTCAGAGCTTTTGCTGTTTGTAAAGAGTGCTTGCTGCAGGCGTGCACTGCTTAACTACCAGCTACATGCATTTTCTCATGCTCACAAGATCCTTTTGAGGTAGAGTCTACTATTCTCATTTTTCAGATAAGAAAACTGAAACAAGAAATTTAAGTAGCTTGTCCAAGGTCACACAGGAGCTGAATCTCTTGATTCAAAGCCTGAACTTTTAACCAGTAGTACATTTGTATTTTATGTTTTTCTTTCTTCTATCTAAATTCTTTTAGGACTTCAGTGAAGCTCCTCGTAGCTATTCCAAACATTATTGGTCTCTTTCTTTTTCGAGCCTTTTGAAAATTAGCAGTGTAGACCATATAATTTAGTACAAGTGCTAAGGTAGAAATCACTGGAGCATATAGATTTGCCTGAGATTAATGGAGTGATAATACAGTTTACGTTTTTTTAAAGTTTCATCAGAGATTAATGGAGTAATATACAGCCTACAATTTCTTCCCAGAGATAGGGAAATAGATTTTTTTTTGTCTTAGACTGTTCCAAATTGAGGAATCATTTGGAAAATGAAAAATTATAAAGATAGCTTATTGTTTTGATTGATGACTGGGGCAAGGTTAAAAAACCTACATAACCATGTGATCTAAAAAATAAAAATGATCACCTCGATAAAAGTCTTTCAGTTTTTTTTAAAGTAAAAGCCAGTTATTAAAATAATGTCAAAATGATTTAGTATCACAATCATATGCTTATTTAAAAATAGACAAATAGCTTAAAAAGTAATCTCTTTTTCTGTACAGGCAGCTTGGAGGCCTGCATTTTACAACTGATTTGGTTGTCAAGGGATCTGGGCTCTTTCTGTCTTGTTACTACACTGTTCTTAGTTTATGGCATATAGTTCAAGATGGCTATTCAGACTCCAGTCATCAAGGTTGCATTCTAGGTTAGGAGGAGGTGGAAATGTGGGAAGGACACACCGTCCTTTAAGGAAACCTCCAGGAAGTTGCCTACAACACTTCTGGCCATACTTCAAGGCCTTACTTAACTGCAGGGAGGCTGGGAGATGTAGTTCTTTAAGTGGGCATGTTGTTATCCACAGCAGTGTAAAGTGTATGTTACTATGGGGGAAGGAGCCACTCATGTTTGTGTAGACAGTGCCTGCCTCGTAAATAATATACGTTTCTGTTTATAGTCTGTTACTGCAGCTGAGAAGCAAACCATCTTAATATCACTAATGAACTTCATTAAATAGTTCAATTCCCAGAAATTTCACAAGAATTCTCTTATAGTTAAGGTTAACAAATACAAATCATTTAATCAGTGTCCTGAAGTAGTCAGACATGAAAATAATTTATTTGAAAATATTGTGTATACCTCTAAACGATTTACACTTACCAGGAGATGTGCAAGATGATACTTTGGTTTTATTAAAAGTAGTTTGTTTTGGGCTGGGCACGGTGGCTCATGCCTGTAATCCCAGCACTTTGGGAGGCCGAGGTGGGCGGTCAAGAGATTGGGGCCATCTTGGCCAACATGGTGAAACCTCGTCTCTACTAAAAATACAAAAATTAGCTGGGCGAGGTGGCGCACGTCTGTAGTCCCAGCTACTCTGGAGGCTGAGGTGGGAGAATCGCTTGAACCTGGGAGGTGGAGGTTGCAGTGAGCTGAGATCAATCCACTGCACTCCAGCCTGGCAACAGAGCAAGATTCCATCTCAAAAAAAAAAAAAAAAAAAAAAGTAGTTTGTTTTCTTTGAGAGATTGTTTACATGTATTCTTCCATTAATACATACATTTCTTATTACATTTATTGAGGTATACTTTACATACAATAAAATATACTCACTTTAAGTGTACGGTTTCATAATTTTGACAAATGTGTATATCTGTGAAACCACTGAAATCAAAGTAGAGAACATTTTTATGATGCAAAAAAGTTCATACATGTCCTTTTGCAGTCAGGGTCTCCCCCTTGCCCCTCAGCCTTCCTCCCCTCCAGGCAACTACCAATCTGCTGTTACTGTAGAATCATTTTGCCCTTTCTAGAATTTTTAATAAATGGAATCATATAGTATGTAATCCTTATTTCTGGTTTCATATTATTGCTTAAGTAGGGTTTTTTTTTTTTTTTGCTAAATAGTAGTCTCTTTTTTGGATATGCCACAATTTGCTGTTGGCTGTGAAAATTAATGTACTGCTTTTTGTGTGGGACATATGTTTTTATTTCTGTAAATAACTAGGAGTTTCACTTTATAAAGAACTGCCAAACTTGCAAAAAATAAAATGTTTGTATCATTTAATATCCCATGAGTTTTATAGGAGTTCTAATTGCTCTGCATTCTTGCAGCATGTAGTACAATGAATTTTTACAAATTTCAGCCATCCTTGTGGCGTGTAGTACATGTTGTGAATCTTTTATCTAAAATGCTTGGAACCACAAGTGTTTTGGATTTTGGATTTTTTCAGATTTGGGCATATTTGCATTATACTGGCTGAGCGTCCCTACTCTGAAAATTTAAAATTTGGAATTTCCTTTGAGTGTCATGTTGGCATGCAAAAAGTTTTGATTTTGGAGCATTTTGGATTTTTGAATTAGGGATGTGCAGTATGTAGTAACTTATTTCAGTTTGTAATTTTTTGATAACAGATGAAGTTTAACATCATTGCATGTGCATATTAAGTCATTCGTATATCTTTTGGGAAATATCTCTTCACATCTTTTGCCCAATTTAAAAATTAGGTTGTTTTCTTACTGAATTGGAAGAATTCTTGGAATATCCTGGATACAAGTTCATTGGCAGATAGATGTATTACAAATGTATTCTCCTAATTTGTGGTGTGCCTTTTCATTTTCTCACTGTCTTCTTTGAATAACAAAAGCTTTAAATTTTGATTAAGTCAAGTATTACTTTTATAAATCTATACTTTTCATGTCCTAAGACATCTTTGCCATCCCAAAGCAGGAAAGTTTTTTTCTTATGATTTCTTCCAGAAGTTTTACAGCATTAGTTAATTAGGTTTAGGCTTGCAATCCAGTAACTTATTTTAAGTTAATTTACATGGTGCGAGGTGAGGATTGAAGTTCTGGTTTTGTTTTGCATACGTTTAGCAAACTATTTAAACATCATTTGTTGAAGACTTATTGAATGACCTTAGAATCTTTGTTAAAAATTAATGGACTCTATGTGTGCATTGCTTTTTTCTGGGTTCTATATTCAGTTCCTTTGATCTACATGTCTGTTATGCCAGTACTACACTATGATGATTACTGAAATTTTATAGTATGTCTTGAAATTAGGATAAATTCTCCGACTTTGTTCTTTTAAAAATTGTATTGATTCTTCTGGGTGTTTTGCATTTCAATATAAGTTTTAGGATCAGCGTGTCAATTAAAAATTTTTTTTCTGTGGGGATTTATTTGTGATTGTATTGAATCTGTAGATCAAATTGGGAAAATTGACATTTTAACGATTTTAAATCTTTCAGTTCATGAACATGGTCTGGCTCTTCATTTCTCTAGATATTTAATTTCTCTCAACATTGTTCCGTAGTTCTTAGTATATAGATCTGGAACATACTTTTATCAGATATATTCCTAAGTAAGTTGTGTTTTTCAATGCTGTTTTAATGGCTATTATTTTAGAGTATTCCCCCCCACCCCCTTTGGACACAGAGTCTCACTCTGTCACCCAGGCTGGGTGCAATGGTGCGATCTCAGCTGACTGTAACCTCCGCCTCTCTAGTTCAAGCAGTTCTCCAGCCTCAGCCAGGAGAATCATGGTAGCTGGGATTACAGGTGTATGCCACCATGCCTGGCTAATTTGTTTGTGTTTTTAGTAGAGACAGAGTTTCATCATGTTGACCAGGCTGGTCTTGAACTCCTGACCTAAAGTGATCTGCCTGCCTTGACTTCCCAAAGTGCTAGGATTACAGGTGTGAGCCACTGCACCTGGCCATTTGAGAGTATTTTTTGACATGTTTACTGTTAGTTTATAGAAACGCCATTAATTTTTGGATATTGATTCTGTATACTGCAACTTTCCTAAGCTTTATTAGTTGTAGTAGCTTTTTTTGTAAATCCTTGGATTTTAAAAAACGTACGTGATGATGTTATCTGCAATTATAGATGGGTTTATATCTTTCTTTGTAATTTGTATTTTACTACTTTTTCTTGCTTCATTGCATTGATTAGGACCTACAGGGCAGTATTGAATAGAAGTAGTAAGAGTGTACATCCTTACCTTGTTCCTGTTCTTGGGCAGAAAATATTCACTCTTCTCATTGTTGACATTAGCTTTGAATTTTCTGATATCCCCGTAAGGTTGAGAAAGTTCTCTTTAATTCTTAGTTTTTAAAATACCGTGAAAGTGGCTGGGCTCACACCTGTAATCCCAGCAATTTGGGAGGCCGAGGTGGGTGGATCACTTGAGGTCAGGGGTTCGAGACCAGCCTGGCCAATGTGGCGAAACCCCGTCTCTACTAAAAATACAAAAAATTAGCTTGGCATGGTGGCACACGCCTGTAATCTCAGCTACTCAGGAGGCCGAGGCACGAGAATCTCTTGAACCCAGGAGGCAAAGGTTGCAGCAAGCAGGTATTGCGCCACTGCACTCCAGCCTGGGTGACAGAGTGAGACTGTCTCAAAAAAAAAAAAAAAAAAAAAAAAAACAAAAAAAACCGTGAAGGTGGGTATTGATTTTTGTTAAATGTTTTTTCTGCATCTATTGAGATGATCATAGGTTTTGTTCTTTTAATATGGTGAATTATACTGATGGGTTTCTAAATGTTGAACTAAGCTTGAATTCCACGACAAACCTTACTTAAGCTTATGGTATTATTATTACGTGTTATTAGATTTGATGTGCTAATATTTTGTTAATGGTTTTTTCATCTGTGTTTATGAAGGATATTGGCGTGTACATTTCTTATCATCTCTGTTTGGTTTTGGTATCATGGTTAATGTTGGTGTCATAAAATAGTTTGGGAAATAGTCCCTCCTTTGTTTTCTGAAAGAGTTTGTGCAGGACTAGTGATATTTTTTCCTTAGATGTTCGATAGAATTCACCAGTGAAGCTATATTGCCTTGGAGATTTTCTTGTGGGAAGGTTTGAAACCATGAATTCCACGTCTTTTTTTTTTTTTTTTTTTTGAGATGGAGTTTCGCTGTTATTGCCCTGGCTGGAGTGCAATGGCGCCATCTTGGCTTAGTGCAACCTCCGCCCCCCTCCCCCACCCAGGTTCAAGATATTCTCCTGCCTCAGCCTCCCAAGTAGCTGGGATTACAGGTGCGCACCAACACATCTGGCTAGTTTTTGTATTTTTAGTACAGACGGGGTTTCACCACGTTGGCCAGGCTGGTTTTGAACTCCTGACCTCAGGTGATCCACCTGCCTTGGCCTCCCAAAGTGTTAGGATTATAGGCGTGAGCCATCACGCCTGGCCCTCTGTGTCTTTAATAGATATAGAGTTGTTCAGATTTTCTGTTTCTTTGTTAATTTGGTAAAGGAATTTTGTTCATTTAACCTGAGTTTTATTTATTGGCACAAAAATTGTCTGTAATAATTCCCCTATCATTTTAGTGTTTTTAGAATGTGTGGTAATGCCTCCCCTTTTTTTTCCTGATATTGGTAGTGTGTCTGTTCTTTCCCTCTTGATTAGTCTAATGAGCATTTGTTAATTTTACTAATCTTTAAAGAACCAGCTTTTTGTTTTCTTTTTTTCTGTATTATCAAATTTGTTTTATGTCTTATCTATTAATATTTCTTCTCTTTTCCACATTATTTCCTTTCTTCTATTTACTTTTGGTTTAATTTCTTCTTCCTTTTATAGCTTCTGAGGGTAGATGCTTAGATCACTGATTTTATGCCCTTTTATTATTATTTTGAGACACATTGTCACTCTGTCACCCAGGCTGATGTGCAGTGGAGCAATCACAGCTCACTGCAACCTCAGTGTCCTGGGCTCAAGTGATCCTCTCACCTCAGACACCTGAGTACCTGGGACCACAGGCATGTGCCACCACACCTGGCTAATTTTTTTTTTTAGTAGAGACAAAGTTTTGTCATGTTGCCCATGCTGGATTTTATGCCTTTCTCATACAAATATTTAGAGCCACAGATTTCTCCTTGAACACTGTTTTATGGACTAGCATATGGTTTTTCTCAGTGAATGTTCCATGTGCATTTGGAAAAAAAGTATTTTGCTGCTGTTGGTGTAATGTTTTATAAATGTCAATTTGGTTATTTTGGTTGATAGTGTTCATGTTTTTTATATCCTTATTAATTTTATGTCTACTTGTTCTATTGCTGAGAGGAGGCCTATTGAAGTCTCCAATTATAATTTTGGATTTCTGTTTTTCTTTTTCAGATGTTTTTCCTTTATATATTTTGAAGCTCTGTTATTAGGTGCCTAGACATTTTAGATTTTTTTATGTTTTCTTGAAGAATTGACATTTTTATCATTACAGTTTTTTTTCCTTATTCCTAGTAATAGTACTTCTCTTGGTGTCAACTTTGATATTAATGTTGCCCCTTTAGCTCTCTCATAATTTGCACAGTATATCTTTTTTCTGTCATTTCACTCTCAACGTAAATATGTCTTTCTATATGTAAGGTGCATTTCTTGTAGGTAACATGTAGTTGGGTCTTCCTTTTTTTTTTTTGAGACAGAGTCTTGCTCTGTCTCTCAGGCTGGAGTGCTGTGGCGCGATCTTGGCTCGCTGCAAGCTCCGCCTCCTGGGTTCACGCCATTCTCCTGCCTCAGCCTCCCGAGTAGCTGGGACTATGGGCGCCTGCCACCATGCTGGCTAATGTTTTATATTTTTTTTAGTAGAGACGGAGTTTCACTGTGTTAGCCAGGATGGTCTCGATCTCCTGACCTCGTGATATGCCCATCTCGGCCTCCCAAAGTGCTGGGATTACAGGCGTGAGCCACCTCGTCTGGCCAGTTGGGCCTTACTTTAAAAAAAAAAAGGATCCCTCACGCCTGTAATCCCAGCACTTTGGGAGACCGAGGCGGGTGGATCACGAGGTCAGGAGATCGAGACCATCGTGGCTAACACAGTGAAACCCCATCTCTAGTAAAATACAAAAAAAAAAAAAAAAAAAAAAAAAAGGATCCATGATGAGAATCTCTGCCTTCTAATTGTAAGATTTAGAGAATTTATATTTAATATAATTATGTTGATTTACTTGGGTTTAAGTACACTGTCTTGTTTTTGTTTTTGTTTTCCTCCCTATTGGTCCCATCTGTTCTTAGTTCCTTTCATCCTCTGCCTTTTTTTTTTTTAAACCTACTTTGGATTATTTTGAGTATTTTTTATGGCTCCATTTATTATTTATCCAATAATTGGCTTATTAGATATACCTCTTTCCTTTACTTTTTAGGGATTGATCAAGGGTTTATAATGTGCATCTTTTACTTACCACAGCTTACCTTCAAATAATATTAAACTTCTTTATTTATAATGTAAAAACCTCCCATTTTCTCCTTCTGGCCTTTGTGCTATTGTTGTCATACTTTTTTTCTTCTTTCTATATCTGACATGTAGTCCACAAGGCATTATCATTTTTGCTGTAAACAGTTAATAAGCCTTTAAAGAAATTTAAAGATGAGAAAACAAATTTTTTTTTTTTTTTTTTTTTTTGAGGAGGAGTCTCGCTCTGTCACTCAGGCTGGAGTGCAGTGGTGCGATCTCAGCTCACTGCAACCTCTGCCTCCTGGGTTCAAGCGATTCTTCTGCCTCAGCTTCCTGAGTAGCTGGGACTACAGGAGCGTGCCACCACTCCCGGCTAATTTTTTTTTTTTTTTTTTGTATTTTTAGTAGAGACGGGGTTTCACCATATTGGTCAGGCTGGTCTCGAACTCCTGACCTCAGGTGATCCACCTGCCTCAGCCTTCTGAAGTGCTGGGATTACAGGTGTGAGCCACCATGCCCGGCCGAGAAAAAAAGTATTTTTTATTTATTTATATGTTACCTATTCCTGGTAATTGTTCTTCTTTTGTGTAGATCCAGGTTTCTATCTTGTGTCGTGTTCCTCGTACCTGAAGAAATAAAAAAAAAAATTATTCTAGTTACATTTATTTTACTGCAGGTCTGTTGGCTTCTGTTCATCTAAAAATAAGTCTGTATTTTACCTTAATTTTTGAGGGCTATTCGTCTTTGATCTAAAAGTCTAGATTTGGGAACTGTTTTTTTCTTTGAGCATATTTTTCCATTGTTTTTGGCCTGCATATTTTCAGATGAGAAGTCTGTAGTTAATATTATCTTTGTTTTTTCTTATGTAATGTATCTTTTTTTCCTCTGCCGACTTGTAATATTTTCCTTTTTATCACTGGTTTTTACAAATTTTATTTTGATGTATTTTGGTGTGTTTTTTTTTTTTTTTTTTTTTTTTAGTTTATGCTGCATTAGGGTTCACTGAACTCTTTAGATCATAGGTTTATTGATTTCATGAAACTTGGAGACAGTGTGGTCCTTATTCTGAAATTATTTTTGTCCCCCTTCTCTCCTACATTCTGAGACGTTAATGGCGTGTATGTTAGATTGCCTGATACTGTGCTGACTGCAGAAGTCACTTTGGCTTGTTTATTATGTTTTGTTTTACAAATTATTTGTTTTTCAGCTTGGATAGTTAATATCGTATGTTTTAAAGCCCTGACTTTTTTTTTTTTTTTTTTTTTTTTTTGGGTAGGTACTTAATCTGCTGTTAAACCCACAGCGAATTTTTCATTTTATATTTTGCATATTTGAGCTGTGGAAATTTTACTTAGTTAAAAAAATCCCCCATTTCTGTCCTTATGTTTGTGTTTTTCTTTAAATTCTTGACCATATTTATAATAGCTGCTTTAATTGGCTTGTCTGTTAATTTCATCATTACTTTCATTTCTGGGTCTGTTTCTGTTAAGTGACTTTTCTTACAGTCATGAGTCCCATTTTTCTACTTTTTGAATGTCTGGTATTTTTTATTGGTTGCTGGACATTGTGAGTGTTGTTGAAAGTCTGGATTTTATTTCCTTCCTTTAAAGAGTTGAATTTTGTATTGGCTGGTAGTTAAGTTACTGGCAGTTAATAAGATCAGCCTATTATTATTAGCATACTTTTTTTCTGAGGCTTGATTATTAGCTTGGGTTAGAATAGACTTTATGCTAGCACTGGTTTCCTCCTTATGAGGTATGGTCATTTTATGGGCATTATTCAGTGCCCAAGGTGTTTAACAGTGTTTTTTCTCTCTGGCTGTTCAGAACTTGACTGCCTCCCAGCTTTAGGTGAACTCTTGGAGTGATAGCTCCCAGTAGTTCTCTGCCTGACCTTGTTGAATTTTACTGTTTGAATGTGCAGCCTAGTACTTAGGAACAGTTTCAAAAGAGCCTCTATCAGATCTTTGGAGCTTTTTTCCTGAATATTCTTTCTGGTGATCTGTCTCCACAAATTCCAGCTGTCTTGGCCTTTGTAGGGCCCACCTCATTTGTATGCCTTCTCTCAGGGAGTCTAGCTCTGTACTCCCTGTTGTCTAGTGTCTGAAAACAGTAATTTTATATATTCTGTCCAGTTTTCTGGTTGTTTATAGTTGGAGAACAATTTGGTGCTTATTTATATTTTAAATGTCACATTTGTCTGTGTATGTTATCCTAGCTCAGGTATCAGCAGACTTTTTCTTATAGAACCAGAGTAATTGTTTCAGGCTCTGGGCCATGTGGCCCCACTTGCAACTCTGTGGTTGTAGTTTGAAAGCAGCCACAGACAATATGCAAATAAATGGGACAGTTGTGTACTGATAAAACTTTATTTACAAAAACAGGTGGTTAGCCCCCAGACCACAGTTTGCTAGCCCTTGAGTTAGTTGACTGAAATAGAAATGATATTAGAATTATGAAATCTTATTGTTGGATGGAATCCTTGAGACTCTTATTTCAGGTGTGAAAGGAACCCTTTAAGTCATATTGTTCAATTAGCCCTTTGATATTTGAAGCCACTCTACAGTGTCCTAATCTAGTATTGACCAGCTTCTCCTTAACCCCCCATATCTATGATTAACTCTCAGTCAGGGATTTATTTCTAGAGGGAGCTCTCACTGTTGTTGTTGCTTTAATCATCAGTTTTTCCATTTGGTTCTGTTGATACCACTTGGGACTGTGCTGAGCAAATGTAATTAATCTTCTACATATCAGCCTTCCATATAACAGAAGACTAAATAACTTCAGAATCATTTTAACTATGTATTAAGTTCATTCAGCTGTGTTATTTTTATCACATGGCTTTATTCTTCTATTTTATTCTTGTTGCCGTGTTAATTTGCTTGAAAGGATTGAATGTGCGGCTAGATAGCCTCTAGCCATATGACATGTTTAGATTTCCTCACCAGCCTAGTCTTTCATCTCTTTATTTGTTGCATTTTACCTATATTCTTAAAGTA